>NC_000002.12:58978231-59281261 GCF_000001405.40 Homo sapiens | reverse complement strand
GTGTACTGTGTGATTATTTCTCTTTTTGAAAGGGAACCAGAGGGTGCAAACTCTTTATTTGAGGGCCCTGGTGTCTCAAGGTTATACTCCAGAAAATCTCATTCTTTCCTTTCCCAACTGGCATTTCAAAGATATTTCAAGTACTCATATTACCAGATATTAAGCACTTCAGCAAGAAATTATCTAAATTTCCCAATTTGCTCCTTAAAGACTTCTTGCAGACTCTTTTTCAAATTTGCCTGTGGAGTGCAGATTTTCTTGTGCACAACACTGAATTTATTTAGGTAGTAGAAACCTTCCTAGGTGATCCTGGTTCTCTCAAAATGTGACAGATAAGAAGGCCAGTTCATAACAGGGCAAGGTAGATTTTTCTGGAAAGTAACTTGCAGAAAAATGAAAGGCTAAAGGTCTAATTAGAGATAGAAATTGTTTTTTAACATATTAGTTAGTGGTAAAAAAAATAAGTGAATGCTTTTTCATGTCCATAACGCTGCAGGGACACCCTTGAACATGTCTCTTTATAATATTTCTCCAAAGTATGTATCTGGAAATGACATTAATGGATGGTAGGAAATGGACATCTTCAAAGTTTTCCATCATTGACAATATTTTCTCCAAAATTCTTTTAACAATTTAGCACCTCCATCAATAAGGCATAGAAATTTCTACTTCCTTACATTTTCAAGAACCCTTTGTTATCAGATTTTAATTCCTGTCTAAAACTTGTAAAAGGGTAGGGAGTAATTGTTTTAATGTGCATTCTCTAATCACTAATGAAATAGAGCAGTTTAACAACAACAAAAAGAAAGGAAAGCCCTAATGGCCAATAGAAAGAATAACTTCTGATGTTTGATAGAACAGTGGGGTGCCTACAGTTCATAATAATTTATTGAATATTTCAAAATAGCAGAAGAAAAGATTTGAAACATTACCAACACAAAAAATAATAAATGTTTGAGGTGATGAATAACCTAAATGCCATGATTTGATCATTATGCTTTATATGCATGTATCAAAATATCACATGTGCCCTATAAATATGTGCAATTATTATGTATCAATTTTAAAAAGATTCGCCAGCTGAAGTCATCTCACTACAAATCAACTGCACCAAATGGTCATTCAACCAACACAGCCCCACTCCTCAAGATTTTAGATGACATTTGTCTTTAAATAATGAAGATCGCCCTGCAGGGATTATTGGATTATCTGTTACCATGCAATGTCTTAGTTACTATTTAGTACTTTATTAAAGGTTAGTTGAGGATAAGGTAATATGCTGAATGGTTTGGGATGGGACACTACCTGGAAGAAAGGAAAGGATATTGATTTTAACTAGATAGTATGTATCTTACAAATGGAATTATATTTTACAATAATAGAAGTGGAGTAGTAGTTATTTATGTAACACCTACAATTAGACACTATGCTACAGATTTTTGTATACAGTTGACCCTTGAACAACATGAAATTAGGGGCACTGGCCCCACATACAGTTGAAAACCCACATGCAATTTTTGAATCCCTAAAACTTAACTGCTAATACCCTACTGTTGACCTGAAGCCTTACTGATAGCATAAATAGTTGACTAACATATTTTATATGTTATATATATTATATACTGTACTCTTACAATAAGGTAAGCTAGTGAAAAGAAAATATTAAGAAAATCATAAAAGAAAATATATTTAGTGTTCATAAAGTGGAAGTGGATCACCATAAAGCTCTTCATTCTCATCATCTTCATATTAAGAAGGCTGAGGAGGAGGAGGAAAAGGAGTAGTTGGTCTTGCTGTCTGAGGAGTGGCAGGGAAGGAAGAAAATCTGCATGTAAGTGCACGCACAAAGTTGTTCAAGGGTCAATTGTACATATGTTTCATTTATTTTCACACACACACACACAAAACAGTGAGATAGGCATTATCTTCATTTAACACATTAGGAAACAATATTTAAATTCACAGAAGAGTTCAGTAAGATAGACAAAAACCCAATTTTTAAAAATGGACAAAAGATAGAACACACACTTTACCAAAGAAGAGACCTCGTTGACAAATAAGCACATACAAATGTACTCAACATTATTAGTCATTAGCAATATGCAAGGAAAAACTGTGATGAGACACCATTACATATTGATTAGAATTGCTTAAATTAAAATGACTGGCGATGTCAACAAGGATGCAGATCTACTAAAAATCTCATTCATTGTGGTGAGAAAGCAAAATGGTAGAATCATTTCAAAAGCTCTCTGGCAGTTTCTTACAATGTTCAACATATATTTACCATATTACCTGGCAATCTCACTCCCAGGTATTTGCCTACTGAAAATATAAGCCCACACAATGGACAAGACCTGTATACAAATACTTGCAGCAGCTTTATCCATAGTTGACAAAATTGAAAATAATTTAAAAGTCTATCAACTGAATAATGTATAAACAAATGAAATACCACTCAGTGATAAAAAGGTGTGAACTAGGATGGATCCAAAAGCATTGTGCTAAGTGAAAGAAAACAGACACAAAAGGTTATATTTTGTATGATTTCATTTATATGACATTTTGGAAAAGGCAAAACTTCAGGGACAAACATCAGATCAGTGGTTGCCAGAGGCTGGGGGTCTGAGGAAGGCATTGACTACAGAGATCAGCTGGGAACTTTCTGGGATGATGGAAAAGTTTTGTATATTGATTGTAGTGATGGTCATATATCTGTATATATTTGTCAAAACTCCTCAAGCTGTACATTTTAAAGGGTACATTTTACTGTACATAAATGCTATCTTAAATAAATCTGACAAAAATGTAGTTCCTATATAATCATGCTTTTAATCTTTTTACTTTATCTGGATATTTCTAGTGTCTTAGAAAATAGCCTGACACATAGTAGGCATCAAATAAAGTTATGTTAAGCAGTTTCTAAGGAATTAGGAAGAAAGATGACAGTTTGACAATGACAATAACATATTTTGCCCATTAATCAGTTTTATTTTTAAATTTTTATTTCATTGTGATAAGAACAGTTAACATGATATCTACCCTCTTAAAAATTTTTACGTGTAAAATATAGTATCATTAACTACAGGCATTCCAGTTTTCTTTAGATTAGTCCAGCCATGATCACTCATGCCTGGCACCATTTCTCTGAAGCTCACACTTATGCAAGTGATATTTCTGTGAAGCCGACCCATGAGTAATTTCTGAGTAGGTATTAAAACACCCTCACGTCTACAAGTCTAATATATTAATAAATGTGCTGTTTTCAATAAGACATCTAAATTTGCATGCACCATCCTACTTGTTATGTTCAGTACTCAATTTTTTAATGTTTCTTGGACACTAGCCAGTAAGTCTGAGTCCCTAGTTAGTTCATCTATTACTTTCTCGCCACAATAGATTTGGGTCTCCGCCAAGAAATGGACTAATATTGCATACAAAAATTGTGTAATGCATTTCCTGATCTTCTGATATGTCCTTTCCCAGTAAGGGGGGAGTATACACACACACACACACAGACACACACACACACATTCGTGCATGCGCACACACATCCTATCTATACACAAAATCTATCCAAGTTAGGTAAACATTTTTATTGTCATTATTAATATCAAGTGTCTTCTATAATCCAAGTGTTTGTTTGACCATTTACATGATTCTCTCACCCTGTGGACTGGAAGGGAACAATGAGTTGTAAAATCTGATGATGATCAAAGATGATGCCTCTCTGTGAAAAAAAAAAAAAAAAAAAAAAAAAGGAGTCAGTATTGTAGGAGCCCTCATTTCCACAGGAAAAGCACACTTTCTGCATTTGATTTGGCACATTCTCTGTGTCTTAATTTCAATGATTCCAAAATGAGATGCTCTTAAAGAAGGAAAATGTTCAGTATTGGAGAGGGGGCATTTTCCTCCCCTACCTTCATTTCCCTTAAAACATAAGCACAGAACTAATGAATGCTATTAAAGGCACTTGTAGAAATGATTCTGATTTGTATCTGATGACTAACTAACCTATTATTGCACTTCTTGGGCAGAGATTAATGGGTAATTCTTAAAGAATAAAGACTCTAACAAGCCTTAGAAATATGTGTGGGCCCAGACTGTACCACGTGACCTCAGAAAGCCGAACCCTGGCTGTTAATATCCTTGACTAATGAACCAAGGCTACAGTCCGTGCTAGCAAAGTGTCAAGAAATAAGTAACCAGAGAGGTGACCTTTTAACATGCTTCTAAATGTAATTTTTAACAGAACAGTGTCAATAAGTTCAAAATCCCATATGCTTTTGATCTGATATGGAAGTACAATGCATCAATATTAGACAGCAAAAGGGAAAGAGAAGAAAGCTAGAGGAAAATGGACAAAAAAGAATCCAAAAGAATAATCTCTAAGACTCCAAATACCTTTTCTTTACATAGGTAAGAAGATAAAAAGTTCTGGTTCACTATTTCAACATTATCATCATAGTGAAAAAAGTAATAATTAATCATAATAGTTTCAGACTATTTCTATTAATTCCTTTAAAAACTGTTTTTTGTTTTGTTTTGTTTTGTTTTTTTGCCTCGGTTTGAGACATACTGCATGACCTAGCAACCCTCCCTCTTCCTGCTCCTGGGTTTTCCATTCATACATTTAATCTTAGAGCATAAACTCTTGTGTCCATTAGATCTAGGGCCATTTCCCAGCTCAGACACTATGTCACTAGGTATATTACTTAAGTTCTATACAATCTCAGTCTTTTCATCTATAAAATGGGGACATTAATAGGATTTTTACTGGATTACTATAAAAATTAAATAGAGAAGTGAATCTAGAGATTTTAGCACAATACCTGATAAGTCAAAAGAGTTTTAAAGTGTTAGCTATTAGTAGAGTGACTGCCAATATTATTGTTATTGTTGATATAACTACTTGGAGTTCGTCTATCCCTTTTAATGCCTGTTATTTTCACCTTCCCAAGGAGAAGGCCACCACTTGCATAGAGTGTGCAGCAGCCCTCTTTGTACCCTTTGCAGAGCTCAGCACAGCGCCTCCTACTGGGTGGCTAAGAATGTGAAAAAGTGAATGAACACTGCCCATCTCATGAATATATTTCCTCATAATATCAAATAGTCACTTAGTATAGTCAGTAACTTACAATAATAAAAAAAATAAAGAAGACAGGTACTATTGGAGAAATGTACTCTTTTTTTTTCAGTCTTTTTAATCTTTTTTTTTTTTTGATAGAGTATCACTGCAGGCTGGAGTGCAGTGGTGCAATCTCGGCTCACTGTAACCTCCGCCTTCCAGGTTCAAGAAATTCTCTTGCCTCCGCCTCCTGAGTAGCTAGGACTACAGGCTCGTGTCACTGCGCCCAGCAAATTTTTGTATTTTTAGTAGAGACAGGGCTTCACCATGCTGGCCAGGCTAGTCTGGAACTCCTGAGCTCAAGTGATCCACCCACCTTGGCCTCACAAAGTGCTGGGCTTACAGACATGAGCCACTGCACCAGGCCTGTCTTTTTAATCATTGACAATCTCATTATTTAGGTATATTCAAGTTTTAACAAACTCATGTTTAGGATAATACAATCTGTCTAAAAAATTTGTTAGACAGGCAAGGAAATGTCTCTCCTTGAGTAACAGCAAAACTCTGTTTTGCTGTTTTGCCTTTCCAAATAGCCTATCCCAATTTTTGGAGCATTTTGCATTTTATATTCTTTAAAGTTCACACTGCAAACAATTCATGACTCTTTTTCCTTCAGCTCCACTCGGGACAGCAAATGTTCATGGGTGTCCTCTGTTGGGCCAGTTCCTGAACTCATTCTTTACTCTCAAAGGGCTCACTGCCTAGAGGTAGAGGGGAATTATAATACAATATAGTAAGTACTAAGGCAGAGAAGCTAACTCTTCCTGAATAGGAAAAGGGTAGTGAACAGTAGCATCCATTCATTCATTTACTCAGAATAGCACCATGAGTGGCCAATGGTGTCACTGTGAAGAGCAAGGACTCAGGATACAGACTGCCTGTGTTTACATCCTGGCTGTGATCCTGGCCAGACATGTGTCCTGGCAGGCCATATCACCTCCCCATACCTTGTTTTCCTGACCTGTATAATGGAGATCATAATATAACTTTCCTTATGGGTTTGGTATTAAGTTTAAATAAGTTAAGTTTGGCAAGTGTTTGGAATAGTGCCTGGCATATGATCAGCATCATAGAAATGTGTGTTAAATAAAGAAAAAATCTATCATCACTTCCTGCACAATCCTTCATTCAACCCACACAGAGATTCCCAACCTCAAAAAGTCAATAATCTTCTAAGGTGGGGGGTGGGGAGACAGGCAAAAAGCAACATATATAGAATGCTATATAAGATGCTATAAGATGACAAGTGCTATGGAAACAAAAAGATGTAGAGTAGGATAAGGGGATCAGGAATGTGGGGATGGGGCATGAGATGGTCAGTCAGTCAGGCTGGCTCATTGAGAAGAAGACATTGGAATGAACAGTGGGAAGAGATGCAGGAGAGGGTCAAGCAAGTGTGGGTTGTATGGGGGAGAGAGTGGGACAGGGGGAGCCCATCTTATGGCTATGCTCTGGCTCTGAGAAGAGTTCATATTCTGAACATATTATGAAGGTAGAGCTCATGTTATTTCCTGATGGACTGGCTGTAGGTTGTTAGGTAAAAAGAGGAGCTCAGATGGATTTCAAAATTAAATTGGATTGGTGATCCCTGAAACAAAGAAGGCAATAAAGCACAGGACTCCAACAGAACACACAGGCAAGGAAAGTCCTATAGTATCAAGATGAGAGTGGCTATACGTAGAAGTAAGATGGAGAAAGAGCAGGACATAAGTGCAGAGAAGCAGGATAGAGACATATCATAATAAACCTTACATGTAGTGCTCAGCAACCTCAGTTGTGCAGGCAGAGGGAGGTGCTGAGGATGTAGATTGTGGGCTGGGGATAACCTTGTACTTGTAGGAAAATGTCTTCCATTGGGGTGGGGGCCCTGGGGCCAGCAGAATGATGGGAAGTAGGGAAGGCTGCAATGGTTCTCTCCACACTTGAACTAAGGGAGAGGCAGCCAGGAAGCAATGCTATAGGGATTGAGTGAGGTTCTACTATGATAGAATTGACCAACAGTAACCATTTGGGTTGCAGGCCTGCAGAGGGGTGAGGAAGGTAGAAGTTAAAGAAAGCAAAATAGGAAACACAAGACAAGAAGCAGATTGAGGACATTAGAAAGCCCAAGTGCCTTAATTTTTTTTTTTTTTGCTACATTTTTCCTTTTTTCACTCCATCTGGTTCTTCCTCCAATTTTAGAAGTCCCGGGCAGCTGAGCTTGGAGTTTAAGGGATGCTCTCAGATTCTCAGATTTTATTCAGAGAAATCCTCTATGAAACTCTCAGGCTTCAAGAGCTCCTCACCATGAAGGCACCATGATGAATGAAAGGGGTCTTTTCATTTGAAATATTTAAAAAGTGACATAATTGTTGGGATGTGAGGAAAAGGAGACCAGGGGAAAAGGAGAAGAAACAAAACACTTTCCAGAGCTTCCCAAGAAGTAAGACAAGAGGAACTCTCAGAACATCCCTTAGGAGGACAACACTTTTATCCATTGTTCCTTAATTCCATGTTAGCAAAGTTTGCAGTCCAGAGCTTAACCTGTGACAATTCTGGGTGGGCTTGACTAGCCTGAGGCAGAAGCCAGTTCTTCTGGGTCTACTGAAACAAATTATTAAAATCATAACAGAAAAATTGTATTTGAAGGAGTTTGTTTCATGAGAACTGGAGCTCCTGTAAATGAATTTTCTTAGATCTATAGTCTCTATAGTCAGAGTGAGTGGTGGGAAGACAGTGGGGGAGAAAAAGATATTTTCCATGTCTTTTTACTAAACTCATAAATAAATAGATCCAGAAAAGACTCAAATACTTCTTATTCACCCCTTTTAAAGTTTTCACTGATAGCAGCCAACAAAATTAAGGACTACCTACCTTCAGTGCTACTTTTGAATTTAAGGAAAAAATTCTCAATGACTAAGGATCCTTCAAAGCCCCAAGAAGTCTTCCTTGGAGTAGGGCTTCAAAGATGTGGAACTATTTTCAGCCAAGTATTTTTCTTTGGATTTTCAAAGAGCACAAAAATAGACTAACCAGCCTAGATCAGGATCATTATCTTGATCATCTTCCATTATCATGATTAACAATCATTGAGCTGTACTATTTGAAGCTGTGTTGAATGCTTTCCAAGATTGCTTCACTATTATCAAACCCATGTTACTGAGGAAGAAACTGAGATTTAGAGTTTCAAAGTAAACTTGATCAACATTTCACAGTGGAAAACCAACATTTATTGAGAAACTATTTATCAGCCGGGATGGGCCCAGAAGCTTTCAGACCTCTCAGATTGCTTTTATTTTTTCTGTTTTACATATAAGAAAACTGATGCTCTAAGTGGCTCAATAACTTATCCAAGGTCATCCCATTTGTAATGTAAGTGCTCTAATTGTCCTTAATTTTAAACCAAACATAGTTTCTCTTGGGAGTATGGAAGACTGTTCTCATCCCAATTCCCAATAGCTGTTTGCTGCTTTTCTTCCCTTTCAGTTCAGGTAGTAAGTGACAGTCCCTGGATAGGCCATTACCTATCCCCTTGGTCTAAATTAATTATTGAAATTTCGTAGTGTAATGATGGTCATATTGACTGACCCACTTTTGGCCTACAAGATTTAATTGAAAGGCTGCCAAAGAGGATAAGACTCCTGGGACAAAAATATAAAACTTCACAATGTTAAAAAGAATTGTCATTCTTTTGTCTGGAAAGCAGAAATAAAGCCTGGAGCTGTAGCAGCCACCTTATAATCATAAGGCAACAACCGTTGGACTCAAGTGCCAAAGCCAATAGAAAGAAAATGACACAGCACAAAGAAATAAAATGCTTGTTTCCATAATAATATATTTGAATTCCAGCATTAATTTTATACTGCCTAAATCTGCTATTACATTTTTTGTACTCATTTGGTTTTTTCATAGTTGAAATATTTCTGATCAAGGTACTGTACTTATAATCTTGCCCATGGCTGTGAAACAGAGCAAATGAAGTACCCACCAAATGGAACTGATTACCTAGGATTTACTTTTACTAATCAATAATTTCTAGCCTTTTTTCAGAGTTCTTCCTTGTTTAGAGTAATAATAGCTGAAAAGCAATGGTGAAAATCCATACCACTGGTAATATCTAACTGCCTGTGAATTATAAGGTAAAACAAAAACAAAAGTAGACTGCTACCAGAAATTCTTGGTCAAATACTATGTATATACATGTTTAAGGTAAACTGCACCAACCTTATGACAAAACAGAACTAATTACATGGATTACTTTTAGCTGAGCCCTTACCTTGTACTCCATGCTATGCTTAGCCTTTCACATTCACTGTGTAATTTGTGTATCACTCTAGGTGGTTGTCATATTCATCATCATTTTAAATGTGAGAAGGTAAAGTAACTAAATATAATAGCAAGCTTAACCACAGACATGCAGATGGAAAGTGTCACACCAGGATTTGAATCTGGATCATTTTTTTTTAAACCACAAAGATATTCAGTGTCTTTAAAGCCAACTAATTGAATGAAACAACTGTCAAACCAGTGGTTGGGTATTTATTTACTGATAACCTGAGGCCGGGTGTGGTGGCACACACCTGTAATCCCAGCACTCTGGGAGGCCAAGGCAGGTGGAACACTGGAGCCCAGGAGTTCAAGACCAGCCTGGCCAACATGGTGAAACCCTATCTCTATCAAAAATACAAAAATTAGCCTCATTTGGTGGTGCACACCTGTATTCCCAGCTACTTGGGGGGCTGAGACATGAGAATTGCTTGAACCTCGGAGGCAAATGTTGCAGTGAGCTGAGATCACGCCACTACATTCCAGCTTGGGCTGTAGAGCAAGGCTCTGTCTCAAAAACAATAATAATAATAATAATAATTTATTTACTGATTACCTGAATAAACTGTCAGTACTTTTGAGAACCAAGTCTGTTAGAGTCACCTGGTCACTCAGCTGAGCGGCCATTTACATGTACTTTGTGTGGATTGCAACACAGGAATCCCATGGGCCATGTATGTTTTTGCTATTTCACTCTTCCCTAGGTCTAGGGCAGTTCACTTCACCCTAAAAAGCTGTTTACCCTCTATAATGCTTTGAGAATTTGGGAGACATTTCCTATCTTCAAATCATGTTTAGTTTAGCAAACCTGTGCATAGGCAGAGTGCTTGGCACATTAGAAATGATCAGTAAAGGTACACAAATAAACAAATAATTTGAATAAATGAGTACATGGACAAAGCAGTTGGCTAACTGAATTATTGATCATCAGTAGTTGATTCTCACTTTGTATTCGCCCTTGAGGCTTGAGTAAGTGTCTCACTTCTAAAGTACGTTATTTTCCCCCTCAATTTGACTCGTTTGCTGCAATAAGTTAGCTCACTTTAAGAAAACACTTTACTGTTCAAGAGTACATTTCTTGGTGGTCTCACCTACATCTCTGCCACAAGCACCTAAAACATAAGGATGGTGACAGATGAATCAGTGCACCATGTTGTTACTTAGTTGTCATTCCCAAAGTATCATAGGGCTGTTGGCCCTCACTGCTAATGCTTCCAGGAAGAAAATACCCAAAGCACTTGAAAAAACTATCTTGTGGGATGCTTTAATTGTTAGTTGGCTAACTGAAAATACCAGCAAAGAGATTAAAATATTTATGATTTCTGTTTGACTTTGAATTCATATTTGAATATGAATTTTTACCCATATGAATTCATATGGGTAAAAAATACACCAAATGGATCTTTGGAAAAATAAAAGATTTCATCATTGCTATTTATTCACTACATGTGCATCAGATTAAGCCTGCTTCAGTGATGTTTTATATTCTCACTCTTTGTTCCATTCACGTTTGATTATATATTCATCTGAGTGAGGTGGTGGCAGTTGGTAGTAGGAGAAAGAGAATGCTTCTTTCTATATATATTCAGAAATAGTTTATTAATTAATTTTATTGCACAAGCATTTGCTAAGTACCCACTACAGACATGACAATGAAACAGTAATTAAAAATTCTGATCCCACATCCCCAACTATTGAACTTATTCCAGACATTCTTAACCAGTCCTAAACTCAACAACATAGTGTTTCTAATTTGTAATCCAAAACTTCTGCTATTTGCAGGCTCAGTTAATCTTAGCGCCATTCACCAATGTCACTCAATTAAAAACCAAATGTATAATTATTTTGATATCTTGTCTTTTATCTAATATATGAAGTCCCTAAACTTATTGATGTTACTTCTTATACATTTTTCAAACTTGCACCCTGTCTTTCTCTATTATCCCTTGATAACCATGGAATCTCCTTTATAGGGCTGTCTTAGGTGATGCTTGGCACATAATAATATTGCCTAAATGCCAGGTATTATTTGGAGGAGGAGGAGGAGGAGAAGTGGTGTACTAGTTCGGATAAAGGAAAATTTTGTGCTATGGAAAGAATAAGAATTAAGTCAGCCAAACAGCAATGTAATAAAAAGCCCAGATTCTTTCTTTCTGCTCTCCCACATGGTCAGATATTTTGTCATAGTTTAAAATACTGCATCTGAGCATGAATATATCCATTGGAAGAAGAGAAACTATCTAGACCAGTGTCTCTTTATAAAATGAAGAAATATTTTTCAAAAGCTTTCAGCAAAACTCCCCTCACATCCCATTGATCAGACTGTCACATGCATGCTCCTCAGCCAATCACTAACAAATTCAGTGGATTTTCTATAATTTCCTTGGACTAATCTGGATTTATCCCTGAACTGAGGATGTGAGTGCCTCATCAAGAAATGGATGCATAAACACAGTTGGAATTCAGTTACTAATGAAGGGGTGAGAGTTGAGCTGTTTGCCAGGGCCTCAGCAGTGACCACAATCAGTACATAGTTGCAATTCAAGTCTTCTATACATCTTGCATGGGTGACTGTAATAGCCTCCTAACTAGGGGGTTTAACTCTAATTCCTGCCCTCCTCAATCCCTTCTCCACAATGTTACCAAATCTTTCTAAAATATGGATGTGGTGCCTTCTTAAGCTTTTGCTTCGCTTTCTACATACATTACAAAATACAAATTTATCAGCATAGCATTTTAAGTTCTTTACGCAACGGTCAAGGATTATCCTTCCAGCTTCATTCCCGATGCCTATATTCCTTGATCTAGCCAACAGATACAAGCATCTTACACTCTCAGCTACACAAACATACCAGAAACTTCTAAACTTTTAATCCCTGTACTTGCTTTTCCCTTGATTTACAATTGTCCCTCTCTGCCCTCATCTAACTAGGGATAAATCTCATTTATCTGTCAACACACTTCTAGTATTACCTTTCTTCTGAAGACATATGCTAAATTTGTCACTCCTTTGTAAGGCATTTCAAACATCATAATACCCCTAGACAAAAAGCTGAAGAATACATTTCTGGAGAAACTGGCCTCAAAGGGAGAGGAAGAGGGGTAAATGAGCGAAAACTACCATTGTAAGCTTTTGATCATCATTTGACTTTTAAAACTATATACATAAAATATTAAATATTATTCATATAACTGTTAAATTAATTCAATTAAGAAATTACATTTTAGAATAATATTAAATGTGTATTTGAATATAAGTTTATATATAATTAAATTTCAAAATTAAATATTACACCTGAGAATAATACTACCTACCTAATGAGATTGCTATTAGAATTAAATAATAGGTCCCAAACACACCTTAACATTGAGAATAAAAGATAGTTAATGAATGTTATTTGCCTTGACATCTCTTTTCATCTTCCACCTGCATTTGTTCATTTATGAAACAAATATTTACCATGTACTGTATGCCAGGCACTATTTTAGTATTCCATGAGAAAGTAAAGCAGAGTTGCAGTACAGTAGAAGAGATAGGGTGAGCTAGAATCACTATACTACTCCCCAAGTGTTGAGTCTACGGAATTGTAGATGAATTTTAAAACACTGCACATAAATGCAAAATAATATAGCCTGTATTGTTATAGTGTCACAGTAAAAGGGAGAATTTTGTTGTTGTTGTTGTTGTAAAGAATAGCCTACATATACTTTTCTAGTTTTCACCATACTTAGGTTCCTCTCATGAAATGCTTGCTTGTGGGTGTCAGCAAACTAAAGACACATGGAACTCACTGTGATATACAGTTTACATTTTTATTAATGACTTCAGATTTAAGGCTATGTTAGTTACTCATTTCTTGAGGCCATATTAATTTATGAAGGCACACACATTTATACACACACACACAAACACACATCTCCTTTACTAATCCACAGAAATAGGTATCTTCAAATATATTTCTGTTCAAATCTTGACATTCTCTGAATGAGAAAATAACCCCTGAATGGATAATTTGGTAACTTTAATAAGGTTTACTGAGTTTGTAAAAGACCATCTCTTGTTTTAATACTATTTGATGATTAGTGATACATTGATTGAGAATTAACAACTATCTTGTTTATAGAATTCATTTAAAGGGCTGTTAAGCCCTAAGCTATGATTTAAAAAATGATCTAGGCTCAGTTTAGCATTCATTACACTAAACATGTCAGCCAATGCCAGTCCAGAAAAGTGAATACCACTTCATTAACAAAACACAGAAATGCTCACTGACAGCTGGCAAAGTCCAATCAGAACTAGCTCACTACTTTTGTATCAGCATCTGTTTCATTTTGCTAATCGACCCTGCTTCCCTCATTTTTTCTTTTGGGAAAGAAGATGGAAGAAAAGATAGCTTGTGAACCTCAAAAGAAGAAAAAAAAAGTAAAAGAAATACCCTGTGTGTGTGGATGACAGAGAGAGAGAGAGAGAGAGAGAGAGAGAGAGAGAGAGAGAGAGAGAGAGAGAGAGAGAGAGAGATTTTAGTTTGGAGAAAGAAAGGCCATGGTTACTTTTACTATTTATCCTAAAAAGAAATTATTGAAGGACAAGTGTAAAATGTTGTCACGTGTAAGGGACTAAATTTAGCCTCTCCGATGTCAGGTACCCCGATTTTAACAAATGCAACTGAAGTGGAAGATAGAAGAAACAGAATAATTTGTATGGAAAAAGTTGCTACAAAATTCAGGCTATATTATTTTACATTTATGTAGGGAGGACTTTAGTAATCTTGCTTAAGTATTCTTTATTTCTTTCCTTTTATTTCTATTTGGTAGATGCAATCTCTGATTAATTCAATTGAACACAGGAAGTGCTCATCTTGTGGAAAGTAAAAGGGAGAAAATGCTTTTGTTGTCACCTACTCACCAATTTGCATAGTTACAATCTCTCTCCCCCACATTCCTCACCAGCCCCTCACCAGCCCCCAAAAAAATAGTAGCAAAGGAAACTGGCAGAGGGGACAGAAGAAAGGACTAAAGAGAGAGAGGAAAAGACCAGTCATATAATATGTTTGCCTACATGGCATTCTACCTTTGAACTTCCAAGTGCAACTTTATACATTGTCTTTTGACATTATGCAGTTTGGAATCCTGAAAGCTCTCAGTTTAGACAACTAAATTATTGCTTGTCAATTTAGCTTGGGATGAAAGACAGGTGTTTTGTTTCACAGTAAAACTCCATTTAAAGCTTACATTGGCTTTAAATCCAATCCCAGCATCTTGTTGTGGGATGGCATTGAAGTGTATCTCAGTAGGAATTATCAGTCAGCCCGACAGTCAGTCCACACAAGCTTCTTCTTCACCTTGGTTCCTCTGGTTGGGCACGCCTAACACTATTTAAAAGCAATTGAGATAAAGACCCCTTGGAACTCCAAGGGTTAGCGTTCTTGGTCATATCGCACTAAGATTTTTCCTCTAACAAAGAACTAAGCTTAGCGAAGTTGAAAATCCCTATTAGTCATCTTAGAAGCCAAGGCAATACTTCATGATTCTTTAGTAAATATTTGTTAAAACTGTGATTTAATTTATTAAATAGCTATTTTTGTATTTCTAATTTAATGAAATAATGTAGTGGGTCCTCTATTCAGGAAATTTTTCATTAGTACATATGCACTTGTTACTCTGATTCAGACGTTTGATGTAAAAGGCCCAGCTGAGTGGCTAAAATTGTCTTTTTATAGGCTGAAAAACAAAACTTTTCTGCAAGCCTCTTCACTTCTCTAACCTCCTCTTCTACTTTGCTATAGTTTCCACTATTTCTAGCATCATCTATTCTAATCTATGCAATAATGAAAACTGGTCACTTCTACTCATTACCATGGTAGAGAGGAACTCTCAGCAAGTCTAGGAAAATCAAACCATGGTTCTACATTACATTTTTGTCCTCCTGTAGTGGAAAATAAGTAGTGGGGACCTTATTTAACATGGGTAAAATTGGCATATACATAGATCTTATAATATTTACTAGTTCATAATTCAAAACTTTAAAGTAATGGAGGTTTTAAAGTAAAAGAAGCCTAGTTCTTCTACTCAAACTCCACAACTGTTTTAAAGAAGATTTTACGTAACTTGACTAAGTTCAAAGATCAAAGTAGTTCACGCAAAGCCAGGACTAGACCCAGGTATTCTGATTGATAAACTAGTTCTTTTTTTTTTAATCTTTTTTTATTTTTTTTAATTTTACTATTATTATACTTTAAGTTTTAGGGTACATGTGCACAACTTGCAGGTTTGTTACATATGTATACATGTGCCATGTTGGTGTGCTGCACCCATTAACTCGTCATTTAGCATTAGGTGTATCTCCTAATGCTATCCCTCCCCTCTCCCACCACCCCACAACAGTCCCTGGTGTGTGATGTTCCCCTTCCTGTGTCCATGTGTTCTCATTGTTCAATTCCCACCTATGAATGAGAACATGCAGTGTTTGGTTTTTTGTCCTTGTGATAGTTTGCTAAGAATCATGGTTTCCAGCTTCATCCATGTCCCTACAAAGGACATGAATTCATCATTTTTTATGGCTGCATAGTATTCCATGGTGTATATGTGCCACATTTTCTTAATCCAGTCTATCATTGTTGGACATTTGGGTTGGTTCCAAGTCTTTGCTATTGTGAATAGTGCCACAATAAACATACGTGTGCATGTGTCTTTATAGCAGCATGATTTATAATCCTTTGGGTATATACCCAGTAATGGGATGGCTGGGTCCAATGGTATTTCTAGTTCTGGATCCCTGAGGAATCGCCACACTGACTTCCACAATGGTTGAACTAGTTTTCAGTCCCACCAACAGTGTAAAAGTGTTCCTATTTCTCCACATCCTCCCCAGCACCTGTTGTTTCCTGACTTTTTAATGATCGCCATTGTAACTGGTGTGAGATGGTATCTCATTGTGGTTTTGATTTGCATTTCTCTGATGGCCAGTGATGATGAGCATTTTCTCATGTGTTTTTTGGCTGCATAAATGTCTTCTTTTGAGAAGTGTCTGTTCGTATCCTTTGCCCACTTTTTGATGGGGTTGTTTGTTTTTTTCTTTTAAATTTGTTTGAGTTCATTGTAGATTCTGGATATTAGCCCTTTTTGTCAGGTGAGTAGGTTGCGAAAATTTTCTCCCATTCTGTAGGTTGCCTGTTCACTCTGATGGTAGTTTCTTTTGCTGTGCAGAAGCTCTTTAGTTTAATTAGATCCCATTTGTCAATTTTGGCTTTTGTTGCCACTGCTTTTGGTGTTTTAGACATGAAGTCCTTGCCCATGCCTATGACCTGAATGGTATTGCCTAGGTTTTCTTCTAAGGCTTTTATGGTTTTAGGTCTAACATGTAAGTCTTTAAGCCATCTTGAGTTAATTTTTGTATAAGGTGTAAGGAAGGGATCCAGTTTCAGCTTTCTACATATGCCTAGCCAGCTTTCCCAGCAGCATTTATTAAATAGGGAATCCTTTCCCCATTGCTTGTTTTTGTCAGGTTTGTCAAAGATCAGATAGTTGTAGATATGTGGCATTATTTCTGAGGGCCCTGTTCTGTTCCATTGGTCTATAGCTCTGTTTTGGTACCAGTACCACGCTGTTTTGGTTACTGTGGCCTTGTAGTATAGTTTGAAGTCAGGTAGCGTGATGCCTCCAGCTTTGTTCTTTTGGCTTCGGATTGACTTGGTAATGCGGGCTCCTTTTTGGTTCCATATGAACTTTAAAGTAGTTTTTTCCAATTCTGTGAAGAAAGTCATTGGTAGCTTGATGGGGATGGCATTGAATCTATAAATTACCTTGGGCAGTATGGCCATTTTCACGATATTGATTCTTCCTACCCATGAGCATGGAACGTTCTTGCATTTGTTTGTATCCTCTTTTATTTCATTGAGCAGTGGTTTGTAGTTCTCCTTGAAGAGGTCCTTCACGTCCCTTGTAAGTTGGATTCCTAGGTATTTTATTCTCTTTGAAGCAATTGTGAATGGGAGTTCACTCATGATTTGGCTCTCTGTTTGGCTGTTATTGGTGTATAAGAATGCTTGTGATTTTTGCACATTGATTTTGTATCCTGAGACTTTGCTGAAGTTGCTTATCAGCTTAAGGAGATTTTGGGCTGAGATGATGGGGTTTTCTAGATATACAATCATGTCATCTGCAAACAGGGACAATTTGACTTCCTCTTTTCCTAACTGAATGCCCTTTATTTCCTTCTCCTGCCTAATTGCCCTGGCCAGAACTTCCAACACTATGTTGAATAGGAGTGGTGAGAGAGGGCATCCCTGTCTTGTGCCAGTTTTCAAAGGGAATGCTTCCAGTTTTTGCCCATTCAGTATGATATTGGCTGTGGGTTTGTCCTAGATAGCTCTTATTATTTTGAGATACATGCCATCAATACCTACTTTATTGAGAGTTTTTAGCATGAAGGATTGTTGAATTTTGTCAAAGGTGTTTTCTGCATCTATTGAAATAATCATGTGGTTTTTGTCTTTGGTTCTGTTTATATGCTGGATTATGTTTATTGATTTTCATATGTTGAACCAGGCTTGCATCCCAGGGGTGAAGCCCACTTGATCATGGTGGATAAGCTTTTTGATGTGTTGCTGGATTTGGTTTGCCAGTATTTTACTGAGGATTTTTGAATCGATGTTCATCAAGGATATTGGTCTAAAATTCTCTTTTTTGGTTGTGTCTCTGCCAGGCTTTGGTATCAGGATGATGCTGGCCTCATAAAATGAGTTAGGGAGGATTCCCTCTTTTTCTATTGATTGAAATAGTTTCAGAAGGAATGGTACCAGCTCCTCCTTGTACCTCTAGTAGAATTCGGCTGTGAATCCGTCTGGTCCTGGTCTTTTTTTGGTTGGTAAGCTATTAATTATTGCCTCAATTTCAGAGCCTGTTATTGGTCTATTCAGAGATTCAACTTCTTCCTGGTTTAGTCTTGGGAGGGTGTATGTGTCGAGGAATTTATCCATTTCTTCTAGATTTTCTAGTTTATTTGCATAGAGGTGTTTATAGTATTCTCTGATGGTAGTTTGTATTTCTGTGGGATCGGTGGTGATATCCCCTTTGTCATTTTTTATTGCATCTATTTGATTCTTCCCTGTTTTCTTCTTTATTAGTCTTGCTAGTGGTCTATCAATTTTGTTGATCTTTTCAAAAAACCAGCTCCTGGATTCATTGATTTTCTGAAGGGTTTTTTGTGCCTCTATTTCCTTCAGTTCTGCTCTGATCTTAGTTATTTCTTGTCTTCTGCTAGTTTTTGAATGTGTTTGCTCTTGCTTCTCTAGTTCTTTTAATTGTGATGTTAGGGTGTCGATTTTAGATCTTTCCTGCTTTCTCTTCTGGGCATTTAGTGTTATAAATTTCCCGCTACACACTGCTTTGAATGTGTCCCAGAGATTCTGGTATGTTGTGTCTTTGTTCTCGTTGGTTTCAAAGAACATCTTTATTTCTGCCTTCATTTCATTATGTACCCAGTCATTGTTCAGGAGCAAGTTGTTCAGTTTCCATGTAGTTGAGCGGTTTTGAGTGAGTTTCTTAATCCTGAGTTCTAGTTTGATTGCACTGTGGTCTAAGAGACAGTTTGTTATAATTTCTGTTCTTTTACATTTGCTGAGGAGTGCTTTACTTCCAACTATGTGGTCAATTTTGGAATAGGCATGGTGTGGTGCTGAGAAGAATGTATATTCTGTTGATTTGGGGTGGAGAGTTCTGTAGATGTCTATTAGGTCTGCTTGGTGCAGAGCTGAGTTCAATTCCTGGATATCCTTGTTAACTTTCTGTCTCATTGATCTGTCTAATGTTGACTGTGGGGTGTTAAAGTCTCCCATTATTATTGTGTGTGAGTCTAAGTCTCTTTGTAGGTCATGAAGGACTTGCTTTATGAACCTGGGTGCTCCTGTATTGGGTGCATATATATTTAGGATAGTTAGTTCTTCTTGTTAAATTGATCCCTTTACCATTATGTAATGGCCTTCGTCTCTTTTGTTCTTTGTTGGTTTAAAGTCTGTTTTATCCAAGACTAGGACTGCAACCCCTGCCTTTTTTGGTTTTCCATTTGCTTGGTAGATCTTCCTCCATCCCTTTATTTTGAGCTTATGTGTGTCTCTGCATGTGCGATGGGTTTCCTGAATACAGCACACTGATGGGTCTTGACTCTTTATCAAATTTGCCAGTCTGTCTTTTAATTGGAGCATTTAGCCCATTTACATTTAAGGTTAGTATTGTTATGTGTGAATTTGATCCTGTCATTATGATGTTAGCTGGTTATTTTGCTCGTTAGTTGATGCAGTTTCTTCCTAGCCTTGACGGTCTTACAATTTGGCATGTTTTTGCAGTGGCTGGTACTGGTTGTTCCTTTCCATGTTTAGTGCTTCCTTCAGGAGCTCTTTTAGGGCAGGCCTGGTGGTGACTAGTTCTTATTCCACTATATAGCCTTGAATAAAATGTTTTACCCAAATGATCTTTAGCACTCTTTATAGGGTTCCATGAGTCTTTTATGATCAAGACTTGGGGCCTTTGTAAGTACATAACTTTTCAGTTAAGCTTAATTTAGAGAAGATTATAACTACATATTTATCATAGTTATTATATAGTCTCTGTTTATCTTTCAATGTAGCAATCGTTTTGACTTTTTTCCCCTGATAATGCTTTGATTAGAATGAAGACTCAGTGACAAGGTTCTCTTTGAGCTTCAATAAATTAATACATTTCTTTCAATGGATTTGTAAAACATCTTGAAGATGAATGCACTATATTATTTAATATATATCTTTCAGTGTCTAGCATAATGCCTTGTCCATAAAAGGTTCCTAATGGATATTTGTTGAGTTTCTGATTTTATGTGTTTGATTCAGTTTCCTTACCTTTATCATCTAGGATTCATCATTCATTAATAAAAAATATTATTTTCTTTGGGCAAAACTTCCTGTTAACCAAGCAAACTATTATTAGTCCATCTTTGACCTAATTTTCAGCTAGGCGTATGTTGATCAGGTAGGGGTATGATGTGACCAAATATAGTCGTTTTATTTGGCTACAAGATGTATACTAGAAGGAGATTTAACTAAGAACAGTTGGATTTTTATGAACTCACAGAAATATCCTATGCTGAAATAGTGAAAATGTCTGCCTTAGTCTTTTAAAATAAACAACCAAGTATGTTTTTCATCTGTCAACTGGAAATACCAATACAGGACTATTGTGAAAAGTCAAGTGGATTAGAGGTGATGGTAATAAAAATGTTAAAAGCAACATGTAAAATGAATGACATTGGGAGTAGTAATCATAATTATAAAAAACATAGTAACTCTGAAGTTTACTGCATATTCAGGGGTTAGAGAAAGGATCTTGGGTCAATTCTTAACAAACAGACAGAAAGAGTTCTTCAGGTTCTAGGGCCAATGATTCAAGACATAAAACACGCAGTAATTGACAACCCAGGCTTTCCCTACTGGCCTTTAGTTCTTACTCCGCCTATAAAAAAGAACTTCATTCAAATGCATGGTTGACAATGAAATGGACGTTTCATCACATTGCCCTACTCCTGACCTCCACACTGACCTCCAGATCACCCCTCAGTCAAAATGTTAAAGGAGTCACCGAATGCAGTTTTAAGCTGAATTTAGCCTAGTTTTCTGAAGAGAAAGCCAGAGAGTAATGTATTTTCAGTGGTGCTTTTTTAATCCTGTAGTTGAAGGCTTCTGTGCCATGATTAGCGTTGATGATATCATCAATTTATCAGTTTATTGCCAAGGTGTGTTTCTTCTTTCATTTTTCATGTATCTCCTAAGCCATTAAATATTTTAAAAAATAACAAAAACAAAACTTTGAAAAAGGGAGAGCTACCTACATTTTTTTTGTTGTTTACAATGCAAAAGATATTAGTATTTTCTGACCTGTTCTGTAAGTTATCTCTGAGTCAAATTTAGAATTTATCTGGATAAAAGGTAAGTGAATAGGTTGGTCCCAGAACCCAAAATGGAGCATGTGGTATGACTGGATTTTAGCATGACCTTTTTCTGTTTATCTGGCAACAAATCAATTAGCTGTTCAAGGAATTAATTGTAGAAGAAATCATCCAATCAGGTCCAGAAATTACCTAGCATATGATTAACCAAATTTTTTGGTTTTGATGATATTTTTAATAACAAACTTGGTTTTCTTTGGCTTAAAACAAATATGAGCAGGCTATAAAGAATCACACAAGCAAATGCAAATCAGTTAATTAATTAAGAAGTTCAGTCAAAATAGTTCTATGGCATTGTACATCAATTGACTCCTAGGCTTTTTAACATGGACATTTGGTTCCCCCTAGTTTTTTAAGGAGTTTCTAAAACCACACGTACCAAATATTATTCAAAAGATTGCATAAGGTTTACATACATTTGTACTACTATTTTTGTGTATACAAAAGCGTCTTAAATTAAAATTAATTTAAAATGCATGATTTCGTTATACATTTTCTTACAACATGTGTACAACTGTTACTGTTGCAAAATGGCCTATAAATTTTTTTTGGCCTTAAAGGGAGCATTCTTGTTCAAAAATATTGGAAACATGGCTTAAATAAAATGACTTTTTTTTTTTTTTAGTCTTTAGCTACTGGGCTATAAAGTAGGTACATGTCAGACTTTTCTTCTCAGAAAACTGTCTGTGCCAAATGACCACTTTGGGATTTTCTAAACCTAAAACTCATTTTTTTCTGTTTGACCTATAAGCCTTGAGACATACTTGAACTACCTTTTAATTCTCTTTAGGAATTGTAAAGATTTGTTAACTAACCTGACTATGGCTCAATGGTCATGTGGCACTTACATTTGAATGGAGGATTTTATCAAATGAATGATAAGTTCACCAAAATGTTAATTTTTAACATAATGATAAATCCTTCAACTATTGTATTCACCAGTTCACACAAGATAATGTTTATATTCACTCAAATAATATTTAAGATCCTTCATAATTTTTTTCTCAATATACCAGCACCTCATACACTAGAGTAAGGTTTGGCAAACTTTCCATTAAGGGGGAAATAGTAAATACTTCAGGCTATGTGGGCCATACATTCTCTGTCACTACCACCCAACTCTGCCTTTGTAGCACAAAGGCAGCCATAGACAACATGCATATGAATGATTGTTGATGTGTTTCAATAATACTTTATTCATGGAAACCGAAATATAAATTTCATGTAATTTTCATATGCCACGAAATAGTCTTCTTATTTTTCATTTTTTCCCCTAGCCATTTAAAATTTCAAAACATTCTTAGCTCATGGGCTGTACAAAAACAAATGGTGGGTTGGATATGGCTTCTGGGCTGTAGTTTGCTGACCCTTACACTAGAGCATTTTCAAATATTTTCTGAACATGCTATGAGTTTCTGTGCTTCCACACCTTTCCTTTTTATAATTTGTTTTCTATTTATTTCAATAGGTTTTTAGGGAGCGGGTGTTGTTTGGCTACATGGATAAGTTCTTTAGTGATGATTTCTGAGATTTTAGTACACCCATCACCTGAGCAGTGTACACTGTAATCAATGTGCAGTCTTTTATCCCGCACCCTCCTTGCACACATTCCCCCAAATCCCCAGAGTCCATTGTATCATTCTTATGCCTTTGTGTCTCGTAGCTTAGGTCCCACTTATGAGCAAGAACATACGATGTTTGGTTTTCCATTGCTGAGTTACTTCACTTAGAATAATAATCTCCAATTCTATCCAAGTTGCTGCGAATGCCATTATTTAATTCTGTTTTATGCTGAGTAGTATTCCATGGTATGCCTATACCATGTTTTCTTTATCCACTCATTGATTGATGGACATTTGGGCTAGTTCCATATTTTTGGAATTGCAAATTGTGCTACTATAAACATGCCTCTGCAAATATCTTTTTCGTATAATGACTTCTTTTCCTCTGGGTAAATACCTAGTAGTGGGACTGCTGGATCAAATGGTAGATCTACTTTTAGTTATTTAAGGAATCTCCATACTGTTTTCCATAGTGGTTATACTAGTTTACATTCCCACCAATGGTGTAAAAGTGTTCCATTTTCACCATATCCATGCCAACATCTATTATTTTTTTTATTTTCTCATTATGGCTATTCTTGAGGGAGTAAGGTGGTATTGCATTTGGTTTTGATTTGCATTTCCCTAATAAATAAATACCTTCCATTATATAGTTCCCACATTCTTATATCTTTCCCTTTTTACTTTGCCTAACTAAATGCTAGCAAAACTAAGCTCAAGTGACACTCTCTCTAAGAATCTTTCCATGATTATAACTCACCATGTCATGCAAAACAAGAATTTTATCCCATTTGGTTCTAGTAGTACTTTGCACATGCTCTGTTATAGGAACAGAGGCAAAACACTTAGAAAGTCTGTGCCGAATATTTCTTCAATGAACCAATCAATCAATGAATAAATGAATGATAGAGACACTAACGAATGACTTGTACCACAACTGTTTACTGAGGTATTTCCATGACCTAAAAGTGAGTCCCATATGGGGTTCCAGTTGTAGTCATCTTTCTTTCCCCAAGGCCTGAAACATGTTTGCTGTGTGGTAATATTGGTAATATTTTAGGAGTTTTGTTGAATTAGTGTATTGAAGGTGAAGCTCAGAGATACAGCTAGGGAAAATGGATTTTATTTTTTATGGGCATTCTTATGTTTCTGAGTTGAAATAGTTTCATCTGATTCTCTACAAAATGGCCATACCTAGCTCCCCAAAGCTAAGTTAAAAGTCACAGATATCCACTTTCCTGTCACTACTTGTAGACACATGCTTGTTTATATTTGGCTAATTAAAATTAATCACCCTAGTTCTCCCTTCCCTTCAAGGGCATTACTTCCCATTAACTTCAATGAAGCTTGTTTGACTTCAGTGAAAGTTTTTTACCTGCATAGGGACAGTGAGGAATCAGGACAAATATCTTTAAGGCTGTCATTTGTCACCATGAACAAAAGAAATAGAGATCCTTAGGCATGAGCCGCCGTAACACACTTCATGTGCCTCTCTTAATTCTATCCTTGCTGACAACCCATGACTGCCACATAAAAGAAAGCATCAGAATTATAATTGAATGGTTCTGAAATATCAGAGACAGAACCTCTGAAAAGAAGGTTCACAAACTTATTCGTTGGCAAGGTTAGTGATTTGATACCTACAAACGGCCAGAACACTGGTGACAGCATTTCCAATGCACGCATATGCATTCACTTTGAGTCAGGGTTGAATAGGAAAGCATGGTAACTCAACTTCATTCCACCAGCACACAGTTCTTTGACAACCCTCTACTATTCAGAATACCCCTGAGCAAGAGAAAGTGAAAGAAGAGGAAAGTGAAAGAAGGGAAAGGCATCTGAGACACTACAGTGATATCATAATATCCATACTCTGAAACTTGAGCATTTTATTCATGGTATATTTATTTCAGTCAGAGTAACAGATACTAGGAGCATTTGGCAAAATTGGAGTGCCAATCTGGAGAGTACCTAAGCAGAAAGCCTCCGTTTTTAAAGATTCTCCATGTATAAAAAAATTAAGGCAAACTAGTCTTATTGTTTCTAATAATCATCAAGTTAATTATTTTTCACAGGAACAGCATGGCACACCCCCTAAGATGATTGTTCCAGAATCCCCACCTTAATCATGCCATGTAGCAACTGTTTCTACTGTATTTTTATAACTTATTTAACAAGACTATTTGCCAGCATTTAAGTGAGATAATACATATATAATCCCCAGTCCTACAACCTGGCACTCAATAAATAAACTAGTTCCTTCTTTAAGCCTTATCTCTTCCGAATAAAATAGAATTTTTAACTGAATAATCTAAAAAAAGAAACATGCAGCAAAAGATTACAGGGCAACCCACACTCACCCATATGGGCATGAGGGTGTAAGGAAAAAACTGACGTTTATTGAATTCCAAGTCTTAGAGCTGGGGCTTTATATATGTGATCTCATTTAAATGTCCTAAGTAGTCCAGTAAAGAAGTTGATATGGCTTGCATTAATATTTAGAGCTTATAATTAAAATTTTAAAATTTAAATTATAAAAAGAACTGTTCCCTAAACCTTGTTCATCCTCTACTCGACTTGGTTAGTTAGCCTCCCTCAATGTGAACAAACATCTACCTGAAATTTCGTCATTAAGTCATTCTTTTGGTTAAGACACTGTCTCTGTAAAAGTTTCCTATTAAAGTGCATGTTATCTGGGTCAGATAAACTACAAAGTCATTAAAATGCACTAAAATTTTCATAGAAATCAAGTAATCAGATAAAAACAGCTTTGCCTTTGGGAGAAAAGGATAAATGAGACTCTGAGAGAAAGAAAGCTAGATCTTAGAAGCTGAAACCAGGAACAACCCATTTTTGGGGGTTCTGGCTTTTGGGATGTAGCATGTGTATGTTATGGTTCAGAGTAGTAGGGGATTGCATGGATAACACAAAGCATCCTTGTTAAAGAGTGCATCAAAATCAAATTCCACTTCACAGTTCTGATGAGGACAAAGGGCATTGCAGTAAACATAAAACCATCTTCTAACTCACTCCTCCACTCTCCAATCAGAAGGTCCTTTCCCTTCTTTGCTATTGGCTTTCCAATGGAGCAGCAGATAAGCATTGTGTGTGCTTCATAGCAGGCACTGCACTGTAAAACAAAAAATCACAATATCAATCACCATAATTGATACTAAAGCCTGAAGCTGGATTTGGGTGGGAGGCTGAGTCAATCTGTCAGTCAACGAACGAGACATTTCTATTGGCAGAAGTTTCCAGCCCCATTTCTCAGTGCCAGAGAGGTACACTGTCCAGAGAGCTTATTCCTTATGGTTTTAGCTTCTTCTATTTGTTTTACCTTGTAGAGTAGCTTAGCAAACCTCCTTTTAACATCTTCTGCCTATGATGCTTATGTGAATGTAGTAGAATATCCTATATCTGCATTCATGTATAATTTCTCTCTATGTAGATTATCTTAACACATCCAAAACCAAATGCATTATTTTGTGAAGAATTTCCCAAACTCTCATGATGAAAAGTGTTACTTGGGGCAATTGTTAAAAACACAAATCCTTGGACTCTGGAACCCATGCCTGCTCAGGGAGAGGCCCAGCTCTCTGCATATTTAACATGGAAGTGATTCCCACCTCTGAAAGCCCATCATGATCAGAACTCCTCTATCTTCTGTATTTCCTACACAGGGCCTAGCACTTGGAGACACATCGCTTCACAAAATTTTATGAACTAAATTAATGAACAGATATCATAGTTATAGAGACATTAAGTGACCAGTCTATTCCTCCAGCACCCATTCAATTGTCTTCAAATTTTGCTGACTTTACCTTTACAAGAATAATGAATTCTTCCCTCTTCTCCATTCTCATTCTGTTATCCTAATTGAGGTTCTCTTCATCACTCTCCAGAAGTGATGAATTAAAGATCATAGCTCTTTAATCTCCTTTTTCATGGTCTCATCCACTGTTATCCAACCCTTAAAGTTCCACCAGTGGAATCTTTCAAAAACACAGATCACTGTGTTGCTTGAAAACCTTTCAACAATTTACTCTTCTCCCCCCAAAACCTGGAATAATGTCTCTAAGGCTCAGAGCCTGGCATAAAGTAAGCCCCTTAAATATATAGGGATATAATTTGTACTCAAAGCTCTTCAAAACCTGATCTCCATGTAACTTTTCTGTTTCAATTCTAATCTCAATCTGCACCTACTTCAGTGCCCCTACTGGCCCCTGCATTTCCCTCAAAAACTAGACCATTTGCATTCCACTCTGTTGTGCTCAGGCTGTTGCCTCTGCTTTGTATACCTATTCTTTCCTTCCTTCTCTTTCCCACGCTAAAAGAAACTCCAATTCGTCAAAAAATGTTTAAGTCTCAAATTTTTCTTAAATTTATTTAAGTCTCTCTTTGGGCACAGGTAGCATGTGAGCAGGTCTAACAGAACTCAGATACAGATTCTTGTGAGTCCTGACTCATCCTTTTCCTTTGGGGTGCTCTGACACCCCATTTCACTTCTGCACTTATGGGGCCAACCAGATGCCCCAAGACCTCTGCAGCTTGAGCCTATGGGATCATTGTGGGGTTGTCCTGAAGCCACATGGACATCTGGTTCCAGGAAAGTGACCTGGTGAATGTATTTTTCCTGCTAGCCGGTACAGTATTTCTTTAGGAGTATCATGTCATAATGGTGCTGACATGCTGATTTTGTATGACTTTCAAATCAGACACAGAAGGAGTTTAGGACTCTGGACTACCTATAGTCCACTGCCAGCCTTGAGCTTGAACTATGTGTGATCCATGCTTATCCACCCATGTTCTGACCAATCACAGTGCTGGCTTCAGGCTACAGCACCTGAGGGAGTGGAGGTAACCCCAGACATCACTTACTCATGGGACCGTTACTGTTGGCATCCAGAACAGTCATCCTATTCCTTCTGCAGGCTCTGTACCATATTTAGACAATCTACCAGGTGGCTGCAACTATCTCCCCTGAGGCTTCCAAGACCACTGCTCCACACAGTAAGGGGGCCTTCCCATTAATGTTCTTTATTGCCTCCAATTGATGTGGTCACATCATGAAATTCTGGATAGATTTAGGCCATGCTGGTCAAAGGACAGACTTTTTTGTACAAATAGGACCATTTTTCTCACTTAGTGCCTTCCTCCTTTTCTACCCTTCTAGCTAGTGGAAGTGAGTGGAAGGTACGGATGCAGACAACATTGAAAGAGATCACATTCTAGGAATGCAATGTTACAGCCCAATTAGTTCATGAGAAAGCATGGTTGGAAGATATATTGTTTCTATTTGTATGCTATAGAATTCTGAACGGTAAACTTAACATGATCAGGGAATAAGTTATTCCTCACATTTTCTGCATCCTCTGGGTAAGACTTACAATCGTGGTCATCATCAATGAAGCACAAAAACAGCCTTTGAGAGAATTACTGGAAACCAATATCTACAAACAGTGCAATGGATGATGAAGTGACACAAGTCCTATTATAACTAGACTTTTACAAAATGGTACTAGGGAAGCTCAGAAGCAAGATCATCAATATTATATCAATATATACAAGTTCTGAAGAGTCATGGCAGAGTAAGTAATATCAGCATTGCTAGCTTTTTTCACAGTGGGAGTTGTGATTTAGTCAGACCCGGTAATTCTGAAAATCAAAAAGTAAAAGAAAAAACATAAAGAGAAGTTTCTTGCACCTGAACAGATGGTGCCTGGACACTGAAAAGCTTTCACACACGTTAATTACACAAGAAAAAATATGTAAGATTTTCTTCTCTACCCTTTTCTCTAAATTTTTAATAACTGGCTCTTGAGGTTTGTAATATTATTTTAAATCAAACTGGTTATAAAAAAGGAGACCTTTTTTAATTTTTGGCCTGGAGAATAACACAACTTAGGAGCAGCCCTTCTGGCCACACAAGGTACTAAGCAAGTGATGTGTACGGTCTATTTTCATCTTTACAACAGCCACAGTAACCGGTTATTATCTTATTACATAGAAAATAAAATAATTTGCCTATGCACACAGTTAGTAAATGGTTAAACGGTGACTCTTATTCTGGACAACCTAATTTTTGTTTGTTTGTTTGTTTGTTTGTTTTTGTTTCTGAGATGGGGGTCTCACTCTGTCACCCTGGCTGGAGTGCAGCCGCACGATCTTGGCTCACTGCAACCTCTGCCTCCTGGGTTCAGGTGATTCTCATGCCTCAGCCTCCCGAGTAGCTGGGACTACAGGCACGTGCCACTACACCCAGCTAATTTTTTTATTTTTTGTAGAGATGGGTTTTCACCATGTTGGTTAGGTTGGTCTCAAACTCCTGACCTCAGGTGATCCACCCGCCTCGGCCTCCCAAAGTGCTGGGATTACAGGTGTGAGCCACCTCACCCAGCCCCAGGACAACCTAATATTAATGTGTATACCAACCTTGGAAGAGTAGGACAAATCTATTATTCCACCTTAGTTGTGTTTCCTAGATAAGTGTTACCTTTTTTCTTGTTGTAGAAATTATTATCATTATTATCATCATCATTATCACTAATAAAATATTTTTTGAATATTAGCTATGTGCCAGACATCATTCTAAGCATTTAATATGTTTAATATTCATTAAACAATTTTAACAAACTTACTTATGAGGTGCCTATTAATAATATTTCCAAAGCACAGATGGAAAAATTGAGGTATCAGAGTGACTAGGTAATTTACTCAAGGTTACTCAGCTATCAGTGACAGACAGGGGAATTAAATAAGACTCTGGCTCTGGAGCCCAGGAAAATCAGAACCAAATTTTCTAGTTTGGTTCCTTTTACCTATATTTATGAACTAAATTGGGACTTGGACATAAAACATCACAAACCACAATATATGACTGGAAGCCATCTGTGATTTTACTCTGGTGAATAAATTTATTTTCATTGGCATAATCTAAGGACTTAGCATTGCTGGTTTTAATGGCACCTCTGGTTCCTATAGATACAGTGGTCGAAAGGGTAAGCTTTGCAGCTGGTTGCAGTGGGGTCACCATGAAAACATCCCTAAGGGGAACTCATTTAATTCAAGAACATGAAATCATTCATTCATGAGTACATCATGCACATGACCATATATATGTGCCTGTAATACATACATGTCCATCCCATTCCTTTATTTCTTTTTGGCTTATAATAGTAATGTTCTTTCTATGTAGGAATGGAGAATTTTATAATTGAAAAATGTATATTTAGCCAGAGCACAGACATAAGGAATATATCAAATAGCACATTCACTGTAGCTAGCTTGGCTTAAATATAGCACGATGCCAAATTTCTAGCCAAAAATTGATAAGAGTAGTCAATAAGCCAAGCATGCAGAACTATTTGTAAAAATTTAGATAATTGACTAAAAATTTCAATTTTCATTCCTACGCCTGCAACCATGTTCCTTAACATTTAATGTTTTTCTGTCACTACTTAGAGTAACAAATATTTCACTTCTTCACACTCTTAGCAATAGCATACCTACAAAATAGCTGAAATAAAAATGTGATGACTTTAAGATTTACAAGTGATAATTATCTTTTTAAAAAAATTCTCATTCAGAGCAAAATTTCCGATTTGTTTTCTCCTATCAACTCCTTGTTTTGTTTCAAGATCTCACTGATCATTTGCAAATGGTGAAAAGCCTCTTTAGCCCACTCTATATTTCATCCCAGGTGACTGAACTCTGCATTTTGATTTCCAAATGGGCAGATAGATGTACTGTAATGAGAACACAAAGAAGCAGGTTTATAACTCAGTACATTATGGCACCAGGTTCAAAGCAAAAGGAAGCAGCAATGCCGTAAGCCTTTGTTTCTGACTCATGCAGATAAACTCCAGCATTTTCCAGGACTGTAACAATGCAGAATATGGAGGGAAAAAAAATAAAGATGCAAGAAAGAGAAAGAAAGAAAATGAATTAAAACAAAGCAAAACTCTTGGGATGGTTTATGCTGCAGGGTATTTTCCCAGAGTTCTGTCCAAGAATAATCTAGTAAAAATGTGGACAGAGAACCACCGACCCCTGATTTCCCCCGAACATATGCAGCTCTGATCAGTCTGGTATTTCAAGAAAAACAAGGTCCTGAACCCGAATCCTCAGACACATAACAAAGCGCACTTCACAGCTGTGATGCACAGCGACGATCGGCTCCGAGGCCTGAGTGGGTCCCAAGACAATGCCTCCTTTATCACCCAGAGGACAAATATCTAGACAGCAATATTTTCTGCTTGAATGCTTCGAGCAGCTCGCACAACTCCTGACTGAAAGAGAAAACTGAGCTCAGAGTGTTTGCTGAGTGATTATTTTAATTTACTACTTGATGTAAATCTAAACGAAGTGACACCCAGCTCAAGATGGACAGAAAGCAATCATCGTGGAGGGTGGGGGGCTACGGCAATAAAGGGGGGCGCATAGGAGAGGGGCTGATGTTACACTATCAGCTGAGGTTTGGCACAGGTTTGCCCAACTTTTGCAATGGCAGCGTAACAGATAGCGGGGCAGGCTCGGCATTCCGTTCCCTTCTCTCAATTACCATAATAAGTTCGGTAATTTTGTGCTGTTTATTTATCAGGAGAGGATAACAAAGGAAGCTGAGGAAGTCTGTTCTGGAGGCACCATGACAAAGCACCAGACAGAAAGCAGTCACGTGTGGGGAGATGAGCAGAGACACCACTTCTCAAGCACCTGATTATTCTTTCTCAGTATTTAGAAGCAAAAATTATCCTTAAGAAAAACAACCGCAAACGCAACACAGGCTACACAGATGAGAAAATGGGGTAAAATGGGGATTGAGAAAATTGAAGGGCAACTTAATAACGAAGTTTTAATTTCTTACAAAAAGCTATCTTCTCTTCATGTCAATTATTTGTCCAAACTTGCCAGTAGAGAGAAAAGATTTTTCAAAAGAACGTTTGGTTAAGTTCCCCTTTCCCCTTTTTCAAGATAGAAGTTCTTTAGATACAGTGAATATTTTTGAGAAACTAGATGGCAAAATCATAGCTATGCCTGTTTAAGATGAACATCAGATTTCTTTGCGGTGCTTGTAAGATATTATACAAAGCACCATTTTTCTCTCTTGTGCTCTCTCTCTCTTTTTTAGCTCATGAAACACTGCACTAAACAGTCACAGGACCAAGATATAGATTCCTATTTCCAGGTTTGTCGCTTCTGTCTAAAAAAGACTTTCATTTCAGCCATGTCTGCCTAGCATCCCCTTCAAAAAAGTGGCAATGTTTGCTAATGAGCATAATCCTCGTTATTTGCAGCACTGTTATAAATGGCACAGGGTATGCATATAAATCCCCAGGCATGATTCTGAAAATATGTCCAATAGAGGAAAAATATATCACCACTTGTTTTCCACAATCACAATATGGAACCAAATTATGGTCTCTATCATATAGATATATATATATGTGTGTGTGAGTATATGTGTGTATATATATACATATATAGTCAATTTATATCTTTATATATTTATTTAGTGAATGCAACATCGATATATATGCATCTGTCTAGTGCAATTGAAAAATATCTATTTCCTATGGATCTGGGTCACTGCTTTTCTAACTAGGAGCCCTCGAGTTCTCTGTAATGGCCTTAAACATTGCCATGATGGCTGCCATATGCGGTATGTAAAAAGAAATCAGCACAGTGACTCTTCCACCTTTACTTTTATCTTTTTCATATATTGAGGTTGTTGAAATTGTTTGTTAGTATAATTTATTTCGGGGGAGGTAGTGCAGCATTTGCCTTTAAAAAAAGATTAAAAATAAAAAAAGGAGGAGGGAGTTTTCTTGAAAACTGTTGTGCTAGGTTGCCCTTTGAAGACTATGAGAAAAGTAACAGAAAAATACAGTCGCCTGTCCAGATGCTGTAACTATGGGGTACCTAATACCTTGTGGACGATACACATATCAGTGTTACTTATGTAGAAAGATACAGCATTTCCAACATCGCGTTTTCCTTACTTTTCTCCAGTCATTTCTATTTGTACATGTAAATGCATACATACTGTGTGGGATCCTGGTAGAATTGTTTTGAGTTCTCCTTTACATTTGTTTTAACACCTTTCTGGTGCTAGCTTACTTGTGTTATCATTATATATAGAATACCTCAAATAGTTAGTTAGTGGGTGAAGGGTGCAGTTGGGTACTAAGGATCTAAAGATGATTAGGGTAGGACCCCAGAACTCAAGTTCTGGGGAGATTTAGTGGGGAGAGCTTGATTAATGTTTGTTTTCTTTGGAGGGCACAGTAGAGTGGGTAAATTTTGTCACATGGATTGGGATTAGATATGTAAGAAAGACCTTTCTGTGATCCAAAAATGTCATGAATTACCCTCTGTGTCTCACTTACTAGGGGAATCCCATTTTACGAATCAAAATGGAAGCATTTCATTGTCAGCAAGGTTAAAGTATATCTCTTTGACTATAATATCACAACAAATTTTCCTGCTATATACAGAACTTGCAAAATCTAGCTACAAATATTTAATACTTAACATATTTCTTTTTAAAAAGCGAATTGATGCTTAGAACTTACAGTAGTCTTTTGTAAGGGATATGTGTTTCTCTCCTGTGTTTTTGGTGGGTGAAAAAGTTGACTCAAAACCTGGTCTTTTTAATACCATAGACAGACCATGAAGAAGAAATTAGTCTCTTGACTTTTATGGTTTTATCTGAATGTAACTTATAGACATCGAGTAGCAGAAAGAGAAAACTGCAGATTTGATTGAATAATACAAGAGAATATACTTGATTGAATAATCAAAATAGGAATTTTCTTCTAGGTTATCATTCCTCACTTATGCTAACTTGGACAAGCCTAAGCAGGGACTTTAATAGGCTTTTAAAATCACTCTTTCATAATACGGTAGACCATATAATACTGTTTAGATTATTTTATTTCCATAATAAACCCTCATTAAGTATATTTATCTAATGATATGACAGAACTGAAGGGAAAAGGAGCATAAAAAAATATCTGCATGTGTTAAACATTAGCCCTTGCAGCAGATTTATAAATAAATTACAGGTAATTTATAGAATCATGCCATGTTTATAATTGCATGTTTAAAGCAATCTTCTCATGGTAATTGTATTGTATGGCTGACTCTAAGTAGGAAGAAATCACAAATTTATATTTCTAGAGTTTACTGAGATGTGCTGTCTTTTATAAGTAAAATTGTATTGTGTAAAATTCAGGTTAGAAAGTGAAGCTTCTATTTCAGTGTGACCCATACTCCATTACTAGATGCTCAGAAGGCTCAGCATAAAAAATTACGTGTTCACTATTTCTAGAAGAGGTCATTGCTTAAATTCCATATTAATTTTCAAGCAAGGCTGCTAGAAAAGAATCAATAAACTTTGTATGACCAAGCAAAACTCTGCCAATGCCTCCAAGATAAATGATACCCAGATTCACTTTTGAGAAGAATGAAGGATTTCAACTGTATGTGCAGCCTTTCAGTGCATGCCAGTTCTCATAGTTCCTTCTGGAATTATTTTCACATAAGAAACAACTATGAGACTGTAAACTACCTGAGAAACCCAAAGGTCAAGCCCATTGGCCTCAAAGGCATTATTTATTGTTAGGATGCTTTCTCTTAACACCTTAGATGAGAACATTTAAGTGAATTAACCTACCATTATGGTGAGAAAATAAAATATATTGTGCTTTCTACTTCTGAAACTATAACATAACATTGTAGAGTATGTTGAGGGTCATGTTAAGCCATACTTTCGGATGAGAAGAATGATAGTTGTGTGATAAGAATGAATAACTCATTAATTCATCAAATATTAATATTTATTAACTATCTACCCCAGGCATTGCTCATGCTATTGGGAAAACACCTGTGAACAAAATGTCCCTGCCCTCAAGGAATTTATACTTCAGTTTTAGAAGCAAAAAGTAAAATCATAAAGGAAAACTATCTCAGACATAGAGAAAAATAAACAGGATAAGAATAGAATAATAAAGGGTGCTGTTTTAGATCTGTAGTCAGGGATGCTCCCCCTAAGAAGGAGACTTTTGAGCAAAGATCTGGATGAAGTAAGAGAACATGGAAAGATGCATCCATAAACAGTGCAAAGGCCCAGTATTGGGCAGAAAGCTGGAATTCACTAGGAAAGCAAATAGAGCCAAACAAAAGGGGAGAGGATAAAAGAGGATGGGGATGAAGTCAGAGAGATAGGTGGAGGTTGGCTCACATAGGCCTTGTAGACAAATGTCAGAGTAGCAGTCAGCATATGCCCGACTATGCTATGGTAACAAACAACCCTGAATCTCAACGGCTGAAAACATGAAAGGTTTATTTTTTGCTCACATCATGTCTACCACAGTTAGGTTGGAGGCTCTGCACTGTGTCATCCTCATCCCAGGAAACAGATGGGCAGAGAAACCACTGTCAAAATCACTGCCAAACATATTATCAGAGAAAAGACATCTCTGAAAGATCTCATATCAGCAATTAATGTTCCAGCATGGAAAGGACACATAGCACTTCCACAAACAACTCACTGGCCAGATCTAGTCATATAACCACATGCAATGATGGCGGAGGAGGAGAGAAGGGACAGGTGTGTGTGGGCAGGGAGCACAATTCTACCATGTGTCCACTATGCAGAGACCTATAAATATTTTGTAAACAGCATGCATGAATCCTATGGTAAAATTGTTGGATTTTATTCCAATGAGATGGGAAGCTATGAGAGGGTTATGAGCTGTTTGAGCTGGCTTTTGTGTAGAGAACATAGAGCTATGACAGTGAGAGAAACAGAAAGACCCATAATTAGATTATAACATTACTTTAGGTGAGAGATAATAATAGCTTGGGCTAGGGTGGTGGTAGTGGAGGTGGTGAGGGATGGTTGGATTTGGGATCCCATACAGAGTAGAGTAGAGCTGTCAGCTCATTATTTTGTTTTGTTTTATTTTGGTTTTTGAGGTTGCAAGCCCAAATACTTGAGCTAGTACCATCAGTGTGTAATACAACCTGGTGAAATATAATGGGAAGTGATGGAGCCTGTGGCCAAACTGGGCAGAGCATGTTCATAAGGACGTCTAAATTCATTCTTTTTTTTTTTTCATCTCATATTTATTTATTTTTGAGACAGAATCTCACTCTGTCACCCAGGCTGCAGTGCAGTGGCACAATCTCGGTTCACTGCAACCTCTGCTTCCCAGGTTCAAGCGATTCTCATTCCTCAGCCTCCCAGGTAGATGAGATTACAGGCACACACCACTATGCCCAGCCAATTTTTATATTTTTAGTAGAGATGGGGCTTGACCATGTTGGCCAGGCTGGTCTCGAATTCCTGAGCTCAAGTGATCCACCCTCCCCTAGACCTCTCAAAGTGCTGACATTACAGGCGTGAGCCATAGCGCCCAGCCTAAATTCACTTGTTTAAACCACAGTATCAACCAAACAAAATAGAATTTTGTTACTTTTGTAGTTTGCATACTTCGTAATTAAATCAACCTAGTTAAAATAATAACAAATGAATAAATAAAACAACCAATTCCCAAATTCTGTGTCTAGAGAATTTTAGTGACACTTTGGCAGATACATGGCAGCACATAAACTTATATTAACTAAAGCACCCACCAGTCAGGTAAAAATTCAGCTTAATCAAGAAGTGTCAGATTGATGTAGCATCTATTCAAAATTAACTGTATAATTTTCAACTCAACTGAATTTAATCAGATTGTGTGAACCTTGTGATTGCAGGCTCAAATTACAGGTTGCTAAGACCTTCTCCACCTAAGGGTACTTCCACCAAAATTTGGTGTGCAAAATTGAAGGTGCAAAGGAATTACCTGGCATGCACAAATACATAATTCCTGTGTGCCATTAGATCATGGAGGGTTGGGGGAGCATGGGAGTCTACATTCACAGCAAGCATGCCTTCCCAATGTGGGCCATCTAGGGAATATACTTTGATAAATCACGGCTCTACCTGATTCTTTAAACGAGTTACAAATTTGACCTTTACCAAACATAGAAAGAGCTTGTACAGTCTGAAAATTCCCACGAAGTTCCTGTACTATTATTCCTGGATGTATATCGGCAATGGCCATTACTAACACTTAGTGAGGAAGAGAACTCGCAGAGAAGTCATCAGATGCCTTGCTTTGTTTTCTCTTTCTCTCTCTCTTTCCCTCCCTTCCTTCCTTTCTCCCTCCCTCCCTCTCCTTCCTTCTTTCCTTTCCCCTTTCTTCTTTCTTTTTATTTTGTCTTTCTCAGTTGTCTTTTTTTCCTAGAACATTATTGAGCTCTTACAACATTCCAGACACAGCACTAGGTTCTAGAAGTTTAGTATTGATCAAGACAAACAGATCCCTGTCTCTGTGTAGTGTGTTTCTTAGAAGGAGCTTTCTTTCTAATTCAGAGAAGTGAGACTAGCAATACTACTACAGTGAATAAACAATGAGGCAAGAATATTTTGGCTAGTCAAATGGTAGCCACTACAAAAGTAAGTGTCAGAACACTGCAACATCTACTCATTATTTTGGCTGAATTTAGAAGAGTTGTTTTGTATAGATACACTCTAGGGTGTCAGAAAGAATCAGAAGGCTCACTGCAATCTTGTTACAACCACCTGTCCTCCTCTTTTGAAGTTTAGTGCAAATAACTTTTCTTCCTGAAACTTCTACAAGTATTCCAGGCAATAGCTGTCCCCCGGACATCCAACACCCCTTTCTCAGGACACATATATGGGTCAACTCAGGAACTCAGCAAGAAAAATAAATGAATGGCATGCATCTGATAAAAATGCATACATATACATTGTGTGAATGTCAGAGACTGGAGCAAATAGGAGAGAATTTAGTGCCATCTGTTTGTTTCATGCCAAATTTGGGCACAGTGAATGTTTAAGTTTTGTGTGTTTTTTAATGACTAAAAATCTGGAATATTTATATAATTTTTCATTGTAAGCCATTAGCTCAAAAATTTCAAAATGTTGTATGAGCCAAACAAAACATATCCACAAGCCAGATTTTATCTTGGGCTCTCTAGTTTGTGGCCTCTGTCTACACACCATAAATATTGGCACTTGTCCTTTAGCACTTGAATTTTAACGAATGCTGTTGTGTTTGTAATCCCAGTGAGACTGTAAATTCCACGAAGGTGTGCCACTTATACATCGCATCACATCGCCCAGTCCAGTATTTGTCACTGGGGTCGCTGGGACAGTAGTGTAGGATGAGCAGGAACACAGTCCCAGATCACCTAGGTTCAAATCCTTGCTATGCTGTTTACTAGCTATGTGACTATAGGCAATTTTCTTAATTTATTTGTGCCTCAGTTTTCTTAATTGTTAAATGGGGGTGATACCAATTATACCCATCTCGTGGGGTATGAGGATTAAATGACTTCATATTCATAAAGCACTTAAAATAACACCAGGAACATAGTAAGAACTCTGTAAATTTTCATATAAGTTAAAATAAATATGTAAATAATATATTTGTTACCTAGAACTGAGTCATCTACTTCTAATTTCATGTGGAGATAAAAACTTATCTGGAAAATAAGAATCCTTTATTTTTATTTATATAAAGAACCAAAGGTATAAGCATCTGACCCAAAGACTATCAAGGAATGTAAATCTATTCCGAATTTTTTTTTCATATTGCTTTCTTTTTATTTACTTATATTTAAATTTTTTTAAAGATATTTTTGTTAGAAAACTAACATAAATATTCTTAACTTTTGAATACTAAGCCACAGGTGTATATGCTTACAAAACAGCTGATGAACATCTGGGCCACTTAGTGTCCTGATTTTGAAGGTTTTCCATTATTTATTCATTATGTGCTAGCCCATTAAACCATTTAGTGATTCCCCATAAATTAAAACAAACTGATTAATTCCTTCAAATGTTCTAATAGAAATATTTTTTAGTACAGAGGATTTCTATGCTCTTTTTCACATGGAATCATATTAGTAAACAGGCTACCTGTAGATTTCTTCACATTTAGATCATTGGATACTGAGGCATAATTTAAGATGCACTTCTTAAAGAATGCCTCCCAATTCATTTCAAAGAGAAGAAGGGCCCCTCCCAGTTGGCAAACGTATTTTCACCAATAGCTATGTAAGACAAAGGAGTATGTTTACACTACAGCACGCTGCTAAGAAGAACTGTAACAAAAGTTATTTTATTTACTCCTCCACAATATCCCTACTTCCCCCAATTTAAAACTGAGAAAACTAAGGTTTAAAAATATTAGATAATGATATTTGAACACAGCCTGGGATATGGCTGACAGAGAAAAAAGTTTTGGAATTTACTCAACTTCATAATTTGTTTTGAGCAATATAAGCAAATGGAGAGTAACATCAATCCTCAACTCAATCGATCAAAAATATTTATTGAGCAGCTGGTACCTGCCAATATTATTTTGTTCTCCAACTCTTATCTTTTTTTATACAGGTGAACATAAAGATTTTTCAGTCAATAGCATACACTGAACATTGCTTCTATATAAAGAGCAGTGTTTCTCAAAGTGTGGTCCTTGGAACAGCAGCATCAGTAGCATCGGTGAGCTTTTATACAAATGCAGATTCTGGGGCCCTACCTCAAAAATGTTAAATCAGAATCTCTGAGGGTGGAGCCCAGCAATCTGCATTTTAATAGGCCTTGAAGGTGCTTCTGGTGCACACTTACATTTGCCAGTCTCTGGTAGAGTGGCAGAGAGTCCCTACTAAGAGTTATAAAAAAAAGAGAAGAATCCCCTTACACAAGCCTTTACAATCTCAGATGTGAGCTCACTTACAGGCCACAGCATTAGCGAACGAACTGCAAACTGAGACAAACGAGGAAATTCTGAGAAGAGACCTGATTCCCTGAGGGCCACTAGTTTTCTCTGAAGGCAGCATTTAGGGAAATATATACCTTAGAAATCCAACAACAGTATCCAGTGCATTATCTGATTTCCTATCATAAAATTTGAGGTTATGGACTCATCATCTGAGGTGTTATCCTATTCTACTCGAAAAAATATACACCGTCCTTCCCTCACAAGCCCCGCCTCCCCACATACAAAATGTTCATCTCAGAAAGCTGTCACTAGATCAGTCAAATCTATCTGTGTAGCTGCTTCAATTTATTCTTCTCATTGATTTCTCCCCCATGCCTCATACTCTTCCAGGCTTGCAGAGCTCAAACCATTACACCATTCAGAAGCTGGCTTTGGTATTACTTCAAGTTATTCAAAACAGTCACCACTTGCTGAGCCTCTGATGTCTCATCTGTTGAATGGGTACATTTTCTTCCTGATCCTTCCACCTCTAAACTTGTCTATTTCCAAGGATCTATGGCATCCAGGCATATGGTGAGCTTACGTGAGTTAGGGGACCTTAGCTGATGTGATCAGCTTAGACAATGCCTTGACTAATGGCAAAAGCCACAGGGCACACAGACACCCAAGGAGCTGCTGTGTCAGTGCTCTACGCAGTAAACCAGATCCATCCCAATAGTTTCATGGTCACTGAGCTTAGGATCATCATTCCAAGAAGGAAGAAATAAAGAGAGAGAGAGAGAAAAACAAGAGAACACGAGATTGTTTTCTTATTTTTCCAAATTCCTAGTTTGCTCTACTATGGTTTTATTTAAATTCTAAACATGAAGAACACCTTTTATTTGTATGTTTGAAGCAGACTGCTAGTTTTAAAAAATTAATCACAGCTTTTCTAGAGGCAGGAGGATGGTCAAGATGAACCACAGCAGTGCCTTGCAGCCTTGCGACACCCATTTTTAAAGCTTTATTTGGAATGTGGCACATTATAATTGACAGACTTGACAAGCATTCTGGTTTCATGGGCTGCATGTCAGGATTCCTGCCCTATATTTCCATATCACCGAGCACTTCCAGTGTGTCCTTGAACTAATTTAAAATCTCCCTGGGTTTCAGGTTCCCCATCTTCGTTGAAGGCCCCACATCATTTGCCATGAACTTGCAGAATGTTCGTAAGCATACAGTATGCTCTCCTCCAGCTTTGAGAGATGTCTTATCTCTTTACCCACAATGTTGATAACTCTTTGCTTATCCTTCAGAGAGAGCAACTCATATTGTATATCTCATCCCCCTAAAATAACATGAGAACTGCATCAACGAGTTAAAAAAATTGAGAACTGCTGTTTTAGAGCCACAACCCCAATTTGACTACATTATTTTTTTTGTTTTCAACTTTGTTTTTTACATCATGTATGTGGGTAAACAGCGTACATTTTCTTAAGACTTTTTAAAGCTGGTACTTAAGGCTTTGAAGTTTGCTCTTTCCCCTCAAATTTTGTGAGTTTTAATTAATTTCTCAAGGGGGAAGGAAGTTCAGAATATCTGATAGCATCAGATTCCAGTTCCTCCCATTGATTTGTGGCAAACAGAATACCTTTAAAATAAATGGTATATTTTGAAAACAGAAATTTATTTCACATACTGCAGTAAGACAGAACAAACAGCTCATCTTGCTATATGCATAAAGAAGCAAAATGTAATTGATAAAGATAATCAGATGTTGCCAGGTTGTTTTAAATAGCTATGAAAAATAAAATGTCTGAATTCAGAAGAGATTAGATTCTTTTTTCCACCTAGGGCTTTGGAGAGAAACAACTGGCATGTGTAATTTTGTCCACATTAATTTTTACAGCCATGGTCAAATAGCCCCACCAGACTGAAACTTGTGAAGAATTTTCTTTCTTCATTTGGCTTGATCATAGAGGAATTAGCTCCCTCAGTGAGCCAAGGTGAAAAGAAGCTAGTTTGGGGAAATAAGCAACATTCATAGGAAAGAGAAAGTTTGAGGCAAACATATGGTTGAAATGCTCTAGTCGATTTCAGATCAAGCTGAGAGAGTTGAGTTGAGATCCGTTGGTTCAGGGATCCAGTTCACTGCACATTCCTACTGTGCCTGACTACTAATTGCATCCTATGTTTGTCAATCAAATATTTGCAATTAACAAAAATATTCCCCTAAGAGACATAGAACAGAGCTGGCAAAGGATCTGGTGCTTTGCTAAGTAGAGCTAGCTGCACACAGAAAATAAAATAAAATATGGTACTAAAAATATTCTGCTGCCGATGACACGGCTAGACACTCCCAGTCAAAACATTAACAAGCAGGATAGGTGGCATGGGGGGCTTTTCAAAGGGATTTTGTTCAAAGAACAGAAACTTTGATCTCGGTGTCTCTGACCCCTCCTCCACCTCTGATTCTTCAATCTACAAGTACATATAGTGGTTTAATTTAACTCTGTGCATAATTTGCCTAAGGATAAAAGTTGATCTAGATTTTTTTAACTCCAATTTTACAAATGCTCTACTTTCTCCCTCCTCCCTCCTCCCCACACACAGATTTCAAGAGAGAAGGCTGAAAAGGAAGGTGACTGGAATATTAAGAACTGTGAGATATTCTGAGGAAACTCTAATTTGTAAATTGGTAGAAATGCCAGTAATTTGTTGGGAATTGAAGACCCTCTGTATTCAAGAGCGAAGCTTGGCAGCTGTGCACTGTTGTTTTATAAATCAATATTACATCTGAAGGTGGTGTTTGAATGTTTGTGTCATTGGGGTTTGTCTCCAACATAGTCCTGTGACAAGAAATGTTCAAACAAAACAAACACAATCCCTTCCCTGTCCTTTAGGATAAAGTCCAAACGTAATTCCACAACAGGGATATAACATTCAAATCAACTACAGAACTTCTGTAATTATATAAAACCCCACGACCACAGAAATGCAATTGAATTGAAGACACTTTGCAATATTCCCCAAGAAAGGACTGTGTGGCTGTCAGATTAACAAAAGTCAAGAGGTGGTGAGACAATGCTCACCATTGCAAAAAAGAGCTTTGTGCATAATGAACAGAATTTGCATGCCTGTTTAGGAAATTAAGGTGAAGCCAAGGTGACTTAGGGTCACATGAGGAGTCACAACGGTCACTAACTAGAAAAGTGAGCATTAAACATTAGTCATTTGGTTTAAATAAGTTCATCTCAATTATTATTAGATATTATTACATAGATTTAATAAAAAATAATAGCTTAAGTGAAATTTTCAACATTATCTGGTTATTACCTGCCCTGAGCTTCTGTGATTCTGTGCCATGATTTTGGTTGCTATATCAGAAAGGAGAGTTGAGGCTGAGCTGCTTTTTGATTGTTGTCAATTCCTCCATCATTGAGATACAGCCCACTTGCACAGTTATGACCAGGGTAAACCATGAAGAATGGGCAATGGGGCATTTAGTACATTAACTCATTTTCATAGGCAAAACCGGCTACGTGATCAGGAAGGAAAAAAAAATGAAGTGTCATTGCCATTCTGGCCTTCTTTAACCCAAAGAACTATCTCATAGAGTTTACAAACAAAATAGGTCATGCCAAGGATTCTAAAAACACCAGTCCAAGCCAAGGATGGAGCGAAATGCCTCTACTGCTCCGGTTCAGTGGTTTTAAAATTGTTTTAAATCATATTGTCCATCAGTAAAATATTTTCGAGCACACATCTCCAATATTTCTGCAATTGTACTACTAGATTAGATATATTACAAAGCATTATCAAACAGAAAATGTTAAAGGACAGGATAAAAAGTAATTAGAAATCAATGCTATCTTCCTGAATTCTATCTTCTGTAAACTAGAAGATTAACACACTCCATTCTCAACAGAGGAGAGGCAGATGAAATTGGCAGGACCCCAGGTTTTCCTGAGTGGTCTGGGTCTAGCTAAACTGGAACAGAGAAGCAAGTGGGAAACCTCTTTTGCCGTCACTGAACACCAGCACTAAGCCGAGGATTAAGTAGGGGAAATGGTTGTACTTAGACTTGCAAAACTGCATGTGGAACACTCTTGTTTCATTTTGATTCCATCTGCACTGAACCACAGAAACTCAGAGCCTGCTAATAACCAGATGAAAATCAAAAAATTCTCTCAAACAATTCTTTTTGATTATGCCCAAGTGCCATCTAATAATGGTTGAGATTGATTTATTAAAAAAATAAATAAATAACTAATTTGCTCAACGTGCTTGGTATGGGGGAGAGGGAGAAAGATGCAGATGAATGTGAGTGTGTGTGCGTGTGTGTGTGTGTGTGTGTGTGTGACAGAGAGAGAGAAATCCCAGGGGTATCTTGGTGGAGGGGAGAGAAAGAAAAACCAACTTGACTTTGGCAGAAATTCCTGGCCTTGCCACGTGCAAGTTGTGCTACTCGGAAGCTAAAACGAGTTGACCAGGCAGAGCTCACTTAGACCTTGTTGCAGTTACTTCTGTTCAAAATGGGGACAACAAAGTCTATTTTGCAGAGTCATTGTGAGCAGTAGGAATTGTTTTTATAAAGTGACTCACACAGCACTTTATAGCAGTTGCTCAATAAATGGTGGCCGCTCTTGTTACATAACTGGACAAGACAATAAATCCTAGACTTTGCCAAGAATACCCATTCAGTATTCAAGTGCACCAACAGTATATGGCAATCACGAGAATATGTTTTTACTTTAGAATTCAAATTCATTTTATTTCCATGATCACATTTAATCTTCACAATGAATTTGAAAGATAGAACAAGTGTAATTATCCCCATTTTACAGACACAGAAAGGTTGATAAATTATTGACATTCAGTGGTAGAGCTTACAATCAATCACTCAGAACTCCTGCTTTCTATACCAGCAATGGGAAGGAAGCAGACATATTTGGCATATGTTACTTTCTATTAAGTAACTCAACCTCATAAACTGTGTATGCATATATGGGTTTAAAAATTTTTTCATCTAAAGTCAACTCGGTTTAGCCCAGTCTTTTCCTCTCTCTCTCTCTCTCCAGTCTCTTCATCACCCAACACATTCCTTGCTAATAAAACAAATATCACAATATGATGAATTGAAGAAATGAAAAAAGCATCTGTTACATGTGCTCTCCATTAAAACTTTGCTTTGCTTTGGCTGTTATTTTGAGACATAATAAATAGCAAATGCCTATATCTTCTGCTAAGTATATGTTTTTGTTTTTGTTTCTCTTCCACCAACTTGAAAGTTGAATGATGTCAATATAGTTTACAAAACAGACAGTGGGGGGAGGGGAGAGATTGAGAGATAGAGAGAGAGAAAAGAAAACAAACAAACAAAAAAACCCAGAGGCGTTTCATATCCACCACCCTCAGCTCTCCCACATAACAAATAATGTGACAAACAATGCACTGCACTTAAGAAATATTGACTGATTTCCTGGCTGTTTTGAAGCAGGATAGAAAGCCTGTTGTTCATTATCTCCATTTGGGTGTCTATACTAGTTTGAATGGTGTTCCCCAAAAATTCATGTCCAATGGAACCTCAGAATGTTACCTTATTTAGAAATAGGGGTTTTATAGATATAATTAGTTTAAATAAGGTCATACTGGATTAGGGTGGCCCTAAATTTATTATGAGCTGGTGTCCTTACAAGAAGAGAAGAGGACAAACAGAACCAGAGACACACACAAGGGAAGAGGGTCATCTGGGGATGGAGGCAGAAATTCGAGTGACGTAGCTATCAGACAAGGGATGCCAGGGATTCTCAGCAACCACAGAAGCTAGGAAGAGGCAAGGGAGTTTCTACCCTAGAGTCTTTGGATGGAGTGCAGCCCTGCTGACCCCTTGCTTTTGGACTTCTAGCCTCTAGGACTGTGACAGGATAAAATTTCTGTTTTGACTACTCAGCTTACAGCAATTTGTTATGGCAGCCCTAGGTAATAATGCAGTGTCCAAATGTATTACTGTTATAGAAATGAACTTGTGTGTTCATGTTTTATGCCATGTCTTAGTGGCTATTTAATTCCTTAAGGTAACTGTCCCCATGCAATTTGATAAGAACACTGACAGACACCAAGAGTCCAGGTCATTTCTATCTTCATTTAAATAATATGAACCAATTCTGGAATAACTTTCACTCATTGATTACCTCTACCAAACAAACAAGAACAAAACTAAAATTAACTCATTAATTCCATTTTTGTTTCACAGTAAGAAATTATAAGACACCAGTTTCCAAAGTAACTATAAGCTTTGGATTTTAGATTTGTGTGCTATTTTCCTTTGTACAACATTTCAAATATAACTTTATGGCCCAGCACTGTTAGCCAAATGTTAACCTTCACCCACAAATCCCAAAGACCTGTTAGGATCAAAAACTGATTTGGGTTCCTGCTAGAACTTCTCTACCTGCACATCATAATTTTGACCTCAGTCCTGACCAAGTCACCTTCCCAGATTACACGCCCCTCATAACTTCTTAAACAGATGCCTTTGTAATACTTATAACCTTTTCCACACTTTTGAGTACGTATGTCTGGGGTGAAGGAGAGAATCTGAAGCTGTATTCTCACAGCTTCAGGATACATAGAGATACAGATCTATTTTTTTTTTAAGTAAGGCATTTTCCGAAGAACAGATGCTGAAAGTCTTCTGCCTCCAACACCCTTCTTGCAGCATTTTAGCACACAATGAAGCCTCTTTCTAACATGGTGATGAAGTCTTTTGAGGGGTTCTGGGGCTGGGAATTTTGCTTACTTTGCTCTTATGCTGTTTTCCAGCAGGCCATTTCTATGTATTTTAATTCCATGGTCCTTATAATTTGTCGAGGGTCCTCTCCCAGCACATCATGGGAACAATATTACTAAAGATTAGGCAGAGTGGAGAGAATTAACATGGCTGTCATCTTTTGGATGTTTACTATTTGCTAAGCACTGCAGTATACGCTCCATATACTTATCTCTTTATTTCTCACCTCTGAGTTAAGCATTATCATCCTCTTTATAAATAAAACAACTGAAGCTCAGAGAGGTGAAGTGATTTGACCACTAATAGCTCATAGCTAATCAAATGCACTTTATTTCAGTCATCTAGACAGCCTGAAAAGATTGCTGTACATCATGAAAGCTGGGGGATCTCTAGAAAACCCTTGGATAAGCGCTGCCTGAGGCCGGGAACCAGACCTGGATAGAGGTAGACAGGTCGGGGGAGGCCTCCAATGCCTGTAGTTAGGAAAGAGAGTCCTGTATGCTAAGGCTTAATTGAAAATCCACTAACAAAGAGATGCCAGTGTTCACTGACAACCATACTGGCCAGAGAAAACACCCTTAGTGTATTTGGCAGCATATGGTATATGTAACACATGTGAGTCAGATGCTTTTAAATCCAGGATGGCTTCAAAGGCAAAAATATCAGGATTTGTAAAGAGCTTTAGATCTACTCAGAATCCCATGTGAAGGTCAGCTGAGGCCTCTACAGCAAGAAGAGTCCTAGACTGAGCCCTTGGGGTGATCCATTAGTTAGCCCTAGTTGCACAGAGCCGCATAACAACCACAGACCTTGGTGGTATATAATGATATTACTTTAGCTCATTATCTGTAAGGCCTGGACTGGGCATGGCTGATCTTACTGTATTCACTCATGGATTTGCAGAAATCTATAAATCAGCTGGGTAGTTCTGCTGATGTTGCCTGGATTTCCTCATATGCCTGGGGGAAGATTGGCTATTGACTGATCTAGGATCTACATCAGCATAGATGTCTGGGGCAGCATGGCTCAGTTCCATGTCTCTCATCCTCCAGCAGAGTGGCCCAGACATGTTCTCCTGCTGATGGCAGACAGCAAGAATGAGTAAGTTCCATCATTCAACCTTTCTCAAGCCTCTGTTTGCTCCATATTTGTGGTTATCCTATTGGCCATGCATGTCACATGGCTGGGCTCAGAGTGGCAAGCTACTGCACAGTCACATGGAAAAGTCATGGACACAAGAGGGTAAATAACTGGGGAATTAACCACTGGAGATTTTGACTCTACAAAGGCAATGGAGCACCTTGAGGAATTCAACTGCAGTTTACTCATTTTATAATCTCAGCCCCTGTGATATAAGCTCAATAAATGCTTTATCCATGAATGAATGAATACATAAATGAATGAATAGCAGTCCTACTCTGAAGTAGGCTGGGCTATCTTGCTACTTTTTGGAGAAAAAGTGTACTTAGTTTAGTCTAACAGCATAGAGGAAAAAAAACATGTTCTATTACTAAACAGATTTATTTTTTTTTCTCTCTCTCAGAAAAGTTCCTACTCTAAATAAAACAACAGAATTCCTGGGCACTATTCATGTTAGAGTGATATGGAAGCACCCCAAACAAAACACTACGAGAATATTTTGGGGAAGAAAACAGATCAAATTGTGCTGAATCCAGCTTCTAGCCTCAGCCTGATGCTGTGCTGGATTAGCTATGCCCCCGTCAGGCAATTATATGGGACTCGTAACACGTCTTCAGTTCTGTGCTCATTTTCATAATAAACCTCTGGTTTCACTTCCTCTAGAACTGTTTTCTCTAAGATTTACCATTTGAGAATAACAAACACTAAATAGAACAAGTATTTCTGCTGAGTTAAAGCTCAACCATTCACGTTACATTTTCATGGTTCTATCTCGGTGTCTGTAGCTTCCCACCTAGAATCTATATTTCTTGCCTACAGTAGTTATAGCATCTGTCTGGCTGCACTCATCCTATATTTTTTAGCAGCATGGAAGAAAGGTGGGATAGAAGCAGTCTGTAAATTTGGCTGGAAATGTGTCTTTCAGTATGTCGCCTCTTTCGAAACAAAAAGAGTATTTTGAGCCTGCCACAAAACATGGTTGTGCTGGTTTGAAGAGACACCACAGAGGTGTGTTCAACTTGGAGACACACGTGATGGAGCTAATGAAAGAAATACAGAGTTTTGACCTTTAAAAAGAAGTATTATTATATTAGCATCTTTCCAAGAATTAGGTAGCTTAGGTCATATTAATCATAGAGTTGCAATACCAGGGAATAGATGGAAACCTTTCTTCCCCACCAAGTTGCGCTTAAAGTTTTGATCCTTGGGAGCCAGCAGTAATGTGTGATAAATAGCAATCAGCTCCTTCACTCTGGGCCTCGTAGCCTGCCCAGGGGCTCTATGCCGCCCCACCGAGCTACTTTGGAGGCAGATGATGCCTTTTTAAATAGGACATTAATGTTAAAAATAGTTCGGAACAGATCAAGGGCAAAACCATTCCTTCACAGGAATTTAAACCTCATGTACAACTCATGCCACTTCCTCATATGTGTCAGATGGTCCTGACCTCTTAAAACACATATTCAGTCCACATGAGTGGAGATTAACACATGTGGCAATAGTGAATGGTGACAATGCCTCAAAATCAGACAAGTGTCTGGCAGTGAGTGCCCGGTGTATGAGAGAATATTCATGGAAAGACAATATGTCCTTTCTTTATATCAATGCAGTAGAGCTTTAATTCAGAGGCCATTTTGTCATCCTAAACAAATCTCTGTTGCTAGAATCTCACTGTTTCTTTCCTCCAGGGAAAGCGGAAGGAAAAAAAGGTCTGTACATTTTTCCTCAACCTCCCTCCCATTTGTCCTTGCAATCTTCTCAGTATTCTGTTCTTTCTTGACCATGGTTCAGAAACGGAATGGGCTCTGGCTTAGATCCTGCCCTCTGGCATCTCCACCCTCAGAGTCTATGAAATGGCTCCAATGCCCCAAGTCAGATGCCAGTGGCCCCTCTTGAGTGCTTACCTTCTCCTAACAGGAAGTGTGTCTTACCCCACTGTGTTTGTTGATGGAATAAATATGAAGAGAAAAGTTACACATGAAAATCTTTGTACATTTTACAAATTCTATGACATTAATTCTAAGATATTAACTTGATGGCTATTACCAGACATCTCATCTCCACTGCTCCAGGGAATCTGGGAGGGAAAGACAAGTAACATGAAAGATCAGATAGAGAGGCTGACAAAGGTTAGGTTCTCCAGAGGTAGATCCTAACTGAAGTTTGGGTGCAAGGTGTTTATCAGGAGTGAATGCCTGTGAACAGAAGGGAGAAGATGCAGGAATGGACAGAGACAGAAGCCTAACTGCTATGCAGGCTCAATAAGTCCTAGACCAACCTACTTGGGCCTTGATGCCCTGGCCTCCCTCAGTCACTGGATGTGAGCTGCCACCAGAGAAGCAGGATGTCCAACAAGGTGGGCTTGCCACCTGAACAGGACCTGAAGGTGCTCATAGCTGGAGGCAGTCTGCTCACTGCACTCCCCAATGCTGGACAGCAAGTTCTTCCTTGAAGGATAATCTGGGCAGCTCATCTCCATGTATACCACAGGCCTCAGTGACTATGCCTAAATATCCAAAGCTTGTAGAGTGAGTGCCATATAACTGAGAAGTAAAGACAGCTGTGCTGATGAACAGAAATGGGTTTGACTGGTTCCCCAGATAGAAAGCAGCACCATCAATCATGAGGTCTTGGGAGGCAAAACAGCCTTAAATGTGAGGCAAGACAGGTCTGGGAGGCAAGACAGCCCTAAAGCCAAGGATGCGGGTGAGGATGAGGGTTCATACAATGCAGTCCCAATCTAACTAGTCACTTTTTCCAAAAATCAAAACAAAACAACAACAACAAAAATTATAAGCATCTTGAAGTTGGGATTAAACTCATCCATCACTGAAAGTTGGAAGCCATGTTCTTCTCAACCAGGAATTAAAAGTTATAATGAACATAGAACATGTTAGGTTCAGGAATCTACCTGTTCCCTTTGAGAGCTGTGAAAGGAGCCTCTCATATGTTTGATGTATATTTTATGAGCAATTGAACATTTTATATCAGAATCTATGAATATGTGGCTGTGTATGGGTGTTGTACATACATATCTCAGCAGATATTATGCCAGTTGGATTCTGATTCAGAGGGAAATTACAAAAGTATTATTTTAAATTTTTTTCTCAAAAGTAAAATTATTGGGCATAATTAAAAAGTCTTTATTAAATATCTGGCCTTTAGAGTTTCTTATTGCTTTCTTCTGGGACACTCAATATTCCTGGAATAATTACATATCTTTAAATACAAATAGGAAACATGCTCATTTTGAGATCTCAAGAACTTGACATTGAAAAACCTTTGACTATTCCAAACGTTGGCATTAATATTTACTATACCTGTTGTTAAACTAAATTTTACTATCAATGCTATAAACAGTAATTCAATTTTAGGGCGATGACAGGATGATCTGCTGAGCTTTGGCCATACAAAATGAGGGTTAAATAGCCTTCCTAGATAGTATCAGCATGTATGTAGTATTAATGATGCATCAGCTATGTGCCAGGGATATTAATCATCACAGAAATTCCATGAAGTTGGTGTTTGTAATGAAAGTTTGCAGTAACCATTATCTTAGCTGAGGATATATAGCACTTTCAACAGTTAAAGGAAAATGTAGGTTGTAGGCCTTTGTTAGGAGATGAATTGTGTCCCCCCAAAATCATATTTTGAAGTCCCAGTCCCAGTGCCTCAGAATGGAACCATGTTTGGAGATAAGGTCTTTAAGGAGTGATTAAGTTAAAATGAGCCCTTACAGGGTGAAGTCCTTCTCCCATATGACTGATATTCTTGTTAGAAGAGGAAGAGACATTAAGGGTACTCATGCACATAGAAAGGCCATGTAAAGATGAGAGAAAGTGGATATCTGCAAGCCAATGAAAGAGGCCTCAGAAGAAACCAAACCTACCAACGCCTTTATTTCGAACTTTTAAGGCTCCAGAAATGTTAGAAAAAGAATACATTCTGTTGTTTAAGCCACCAAATTTGTGGTATTTTTTTATGGCAGCCCTAGAAAACTAACAGTCTCCTTCCTCTTGGGTGGTATGATACAGATGGTGTGTTACAGTAAAAGTGGACCGCCAACCAAATAAATATCTTCCAGTAAGTAGGCCCAAGAACAATCATTCAATGTATGCTATAAGCTCAAGAATTATGGCATCTTTTAAGTTGTTACTGAAAGGGTCAAGAATGTAGATGAGACATGTAGATGTCTTATATATTGGCAGGATTCAATTAGATTTCTAATTGGAGACAATGAGAGGCTGTTGTTTGGAATCCTCAGCTTGAGGTCCTGTTACAGTGGGTTACTTAGGGCTGACTAGATTCTTACACCCTGTTCATGATAAGGTTAATGTGCTGTAGAGCATTTCTAGCCAATCTACACATCCTAAACACTACTTATGTTAGTTATGATTAAAATGTTTTAATATTAAATATCCATTGTACTAATTAGTGGTATGCAGCCATCTCTGTATATGAGTTTCTAATTTGAATCTTCCAAATGTAAACTCAGCACTTGATTTTGGCATTTAGATATTAATCACCAGTCCCTAGGGCATCAGGTGAAATCAACAAATCCATACATGTGTGTCGTACAGTTTATGAGGAAGTACTTTATTTTATTAATTTAATGTTTTCAGGGTTTTTTATTTGACTTAATTTCAAGACTTACAGAAAAGTTGCAAGAATAATGCAAAAAAATCTCCAGACACCCATACCTTTCAGACAAATTTATTCTTTCCTCTCTTTCTCAATCTGTATCCTCACCCCAAAATATTTTCTAGTGCATTTTCATAAAACATAACTTTGTATAACTGGGAAATTAACATTTACGAATGGTGATTCCTAATTTCATTATTCCTTCAACAGTTTTTAATTGGCTTTCTACTACAGGGGAAAGCTTTCTCTTCCTTTTTATACATCTGTATCACTGGGAACTCAGGAATTCTTACTTTATCCAATAAGTTATAATCTCTCACTGCCTTTATTTATTTTATGTTCAAATTATCCTGGAGTTGGCCCATGGAAGTCCCCTTCAAACTAGAGCTTGTGTCCTTTTAACATGTTTTCTTCATTCTTTGAACACTTTCTTTCTTTTTCACATAAGATATTCCAGGCTAATCTTATACATATGCACACATATATACTCATGCATTTCGAGATCTATATGCTAATGTATATTAACGTAAATTGCGAACAATGAAAAAGACCACTTGCCTGGAACAAACAAAGCAGGGTCCCTAACTGCTTTTCTAAGCCCTGATACTTTATAACCATTCCTTTCTCAGAGTGTTACCATTGTATCACCGTTACTCCTGCAGACAAGAAACTTTTGTTTCTTTTTCTCCTTTCTTTCTAAACCTTTTAAAATCATTTGTCCCATAGTCCCAATTATTAACAGGAGGAAAACTGGCCCACCTTTACTTGAGAGTGGTGCCAATTACTCCTCAAAAGTCATTTTGAAGTGGTTTGGGTGAAGTGGAGAAGTGGCCATTTACTCCCCAACTTCTGAATTCTTTTAATGCAACAAATGAAGGGTTGGGGGCAGGTCAGGGCGTGTCAGGGAGCAGGTCAGGGAGCAATTCCACTTAGTTTTCCAAAGTAAAACAAATTAAACATTCACATTCTGATATTTATTATCTGGTTTTACAGGTGATGAAATTGGGCAATTAATTTGTTCAAAGCCCTTCAACTAGTTAATAGTGGATCTTAGACTCAACTCAGTGCATTGATACTCTAGCCCAGCAATGCTCAACATGTGGTCAATTTAGGAGATTACCAAGACCTATTTAGAGGATCCACAAAGTTAAAATTGTTTTTACAATAAAACTATAATTTTTCTTTTACTGTTTTTTTGCCTTTTCACTCTTTCTTTCATTAAGTGTACGTTACTCAGGAATTTTACATGAAGAGTGATAGTGATGGTATCATTCTGATGACTAATGGAATGTGTACTGACATATTCCAAAATTTTCTAAGGTAGTAGTTTTTGGGAAAAAAATGTGAGTCTTCAGAAATTAACTCAGTTTTTTCTTATTTATATCAAGCTTTTGACATTTACCTTTGTTTCTATTAGCTATAAACCTTGTTTTTAATCCAATGTACCGGTAATTTGAAATCCAAAAATTAATTTTCTTTGGAAATACCGCCCTCTCTTACCTTCTTCTTTTTCTTTTTTTGAAACACAACAAGAAGTTTGTATACTTTCTGGTCTTATTTTACAATAATAAGTGTCTAAATTTCTCTGTTTTACTGTGTTGTGTGTAGCTCACACATGCAAATGCTCTTTGAGGTCCTCAGTCATTTTTAAGAATGTATAGGGGTCTGGAGACAATGTTGTGGGATGAATATTGTCAAGGAGAAAGAATACTTAAGGGGTAGCATCAGTGAGGTAAAAAGAAAGACTAGTTAAGCTAGTGAGTAGTCTACTTGTAATAGACTGTACAGCTGTGTGATAGACTTCCTTTTGCTTCAAGCTGCTAGTTTTCCCCTTCTAAAGCCAAGGGCAAGAAAGCACCCCACTGACAGGACTGCCATGCTAAGAGAAGGGGCCATCCAGGGCTCGGACAGCAGCTCAGTTAAGTCTTAAACTGTTTGGCCAAGAGGCAAATGAGTCTACCTTACTCCTGGTGTGTGATCAAATAGTGTTTATAAACCAAGAAACTCTGTAGGTGTTTCAGCAAAGCAGCAGCATTTACAAGATGGCAATGCAAGGTATTAGAAGGCAGCTAAAGGGCTAACTGCATGCGGTTTAAGTGTTTGATAATGAGCAGAGGAGAATAGGTTTTGCCTTTAGCCAAATTTTGTGCATCTTAGCTTTGGAACCAATATCCTGAAACATTGTCATGTCACAGCTGGCCTATTGTCTGGGAAAAGGAATGTCCAAGGATGCTCACTACATTTTAGACAGTAAAGAGCCAAACACTAACCCACTTTGATCATTTTGTCGAGTTAAGTATAAATAAAGCAGTGGATCAGATTAAATTTCCCTCCCCCTTGCCCTGAATAAGCTCTTTCCTTCCTTCCTTCCTTCCTTCCCTCCTTCCTTCCTTCCCTCCTTCCTTCCTTCCCTCCTTCCTTCCTTCCCTCCTTCCTTCTTTCCCTCCTTCCTTCCTTCCCTTCCTTCCTTCCTCCTTCCCTCCCTCCCTCCCTCCCTTCCACCCCTCCTTCCTTCATTCCCTTCCTTCCTTCCTCCTTCCCTCCCTCCCTCCCTTCCTCCCTCTCTTTCTTCCTTCCTTCCTTGTTCCTTCCTTCCTTGTTCCTTCCTTCCTTCCCTGTCACTCTTGTTTTATGTTAATGGAAAATGTGCTTGGCCAAATATCATTTTCCCAAGTGTCAATTATTTGCAAATACGTTCATATGTATACTAAAGACAAAGTGCAGTAGATCTAGTTTAGCTGGGTCTACTGGCACCATAATTGAAGCAAACATACCACCCTTGACCTTCCAACTTTCCAAACAGCAAAGAGCCTTTGTGTGTTCACTCCATTTTTTCCCATTCCCAAACACTCAATTAATAGACAAGTTCTCCTTATCTGCCCAATTCCAATACGCAACCTTGGCTTGCAAAACTGCTGATGACTTAGGGAACAAATAGCAGAGTGGCTGCAGGATTCTTGGGGAATATTGAATTCAAAATGGCCTCTGCTGCCAGCACATGATAGCTTGGACACAAAGCCAGTTAACACAGATCTGTCTCACCCACCCTTCCCCAGCCTCCAGACTTTTCTTGTGTCCTGGATTCTCTTTGCTTCCCAAAGTGACCTTATCTATATAATCATCTTCCTGGAAATATGGGGAAGGACAAAAATGTTTGACAACCACTGCTCTAGGCTGTGTCATTTTAGTGCACAATGTGAGAGGGAATGACAGATGCATAAGACAAAAGTTATCTGATGCTCATCCTTTGACCAAATGCCAGTGTATTTCTACCCAATTCATCTACATAAGTTTGTTTTATTTGTGAAACAGAAATATTTCAATTACTTTCCCTCCTCAGTATTTTTAGGGCCCTGCCTCTGGGGTTGGGATTGGAAAGGCATTTTTACATTTGGGGAGATTGACCCCAGAGGCTCTGCTAATTTCCCAGGAAACCAAAGTAAAAGATCTGTGACTGGTAATGACCCAACTTAGTTTTAAGTTTTTTTTCTATCCTTCTCCTTTTCAGGCATTGCTCAAGCCCCATCTAAGCCCAACCAAATCTTCTAGAAATCCTCCATGTGTAATCTGAGCTTGATATGTCAAACCATGGCTTATTCCAATTATCACATAACCAGTAGCTCATAAACATACAAGCCACAACTCTGGTCTCCTGACTGAATACCAATTAGGAGTGGAGTATTCTTAAAGGTCCCTGATACTAGTCATCAATGTCTTCTGTTAAAGGGCAGCAGGGGGATTGAAGACACTTATTTTTACCTTCGAATACCAACTTATGTTCATCACTGCTAGAAAAAGTCTTGTCATTTCTCATTTCTTGATGAACTTAAGGTATAGCAAATGAGCACACTATATCTGCTAAGGCAAGATCCTTAGTACTAGAAGTAGGAGTAGGAGTGATAGGACTAGTAGCGTTAAAAATAATTGATTCTTGGCAGACACTATGTAGAGACCACCAAAATCTATGTGCAGCCCCTCTCTCTTGCTACCACTTCCTTAGTTCAAAAAGCCAAGCGTCTTCCCCCTCCAGGCTCTCCTGCAACTAGGGGCTACCATATCATGTGCTTTTGGCCCTGGACATGTAAAGAAAGTTTTCCTGGGAGTTAGGAAGCCCCTGGAGAAGCTTTTCTTCCTTCATATTAAAGGACAATGAAGAAGGAGGCTCCTGTGAAATTATCGCCTTCCCACTGCCTTAAATGCCAACATCCTGACTAGAAGTGAAGTGGCTATATTGTGACTATCAGAGAAAAGTCAAGGAAATGACAGCAGAGTGAGACCTAACCTCGTCAAGCCAGAGAAATCATGCCGGCTACTACATTTCTCTGCATTCCTTATTATATAAGAAAAGCATACACCAATTCTCCTTAATCTGTTGACCAGCCTTAGCCTTAGATTTCATGTGTATGATATGGGGGATAAAGGTATGTATTTTGCAGAAGTCAATGTAGGAATTTTTCTTTTAAAGTCTGGGAATCATTTTGCAAACTAGAAAATTCTACACAACTGTAAGAAAGGCTTTGTTTGGAAACGGTAGTGGATTAGATCATTTGTACTTTTGTAGCCCTATTTGGAAGTACTAATTGTATATCTAATATTCACTATGTAATCCTCTAGTTTTTGAAAGTGCACCAAGGACCCAGCCCTTAAGGAGATTACAATTTATTAAATGATTCCTTCATGAAATCATTTAATTCCTGATGTACCACAGAGAATAAAACAAAAAAATTATTAAACTACTAAGTGCTAAATTACAAGATACTGAAGGCTAGTTCTACAGAAATTTGAATTAAAATATTCAATATACATTAAGTGCTTACTATGTTCCAAACAATATTCTAAGTATTTTACATGAAGCAAGTAGCTTAATCCTAGGACAAATCTGTGGATAAATATATTACCATTCACATTTTACTCTTGGTAAAATTGAGGTGCAATGGAGTTACATGTGTTGACAGAATTCACAGATGGTAAGTGGCAGAGCCAGGATTGAATCCAGGCACCCTGGCTTAGATCCACTGCTCTCTTGGGAACATCAAAATGTCAGATCATTTGTTTCTAACCCTTGCTCTGTTGCTTACCTAGTTCTATGAACTTGGGTGCAGCATTTAGAAAACTGCTTCCTTATCTTTTAAATCAGGATGCTACCCAATCCTATCCAATAGGATTGTTTTAATGATTTAATCAATAATGTGTACAAAGCACCTTGTGCTGTAACTGGCACAGAGTGGGGCATAATAAATGACCGCCATTATTAGCCTGGTGGGATAGACTGGATGCCTCAGCACCCCTTCCATCAGAGCAAGGAGGTGAGGCCATCTCTCCTGAATGTGTTATAGATCTGAAATTTCAGTTAGGTCCAGAAAATAGTCAAATGTTTTAGAAAAATTATGTCCAGGCAATTGCTTCACAATGGGGAAGATAAAAGTTATGATAACTTTATAAGGAGAAAACTTTTTCTGAAAAAAATTAAGATTTATCTTGGTGTGAGTGATTGTTAGGAAAACTAGTAAGGAAATTAGTCACAGTTCATATGGATGAAGGGGCTGAACAGCATAGGAATCATATTTCATTTATTAGACAAATATTTATTGAGTGTTCACCAAGTGCCATATTTGTTCTAGGTGTTGCTACCCCTGTTGCTTCCCATCCCCACAGCACAGCTTGTTAAAGGGCTAGCTTTATTTGTATTCAATCATTTCATGCCTCTAACTTATGCCTTCCTGTAGCTAATGGGAAGGGACACAGTTGGAGCTTCCTTCTCTTAATCCTCACATTGCGGGAGTTTCAATTATTTATATAGTAATCAATTCTGAACAGAGAACAACTCCACTTAAGAAATGAACAGGGTCTAAAATGGGCCTCATGGCAACAATTCACAGTGGTCAATTTAATAGAGGCAATTTTGGGTTCTCCACCTCCGTCTCCAGAAAGAAGAATGATGCTACATAATTAATTGGCATCTGTCTTATCTTAAATCTTCCTTCCTTTCTGTGTGAGCCCTTATATGACTCCCAGGCTTGTCCCTGACTTGGGAGGTAACTTTCTGAGCTAATCCTTTTGCCCATCCTGAAGCTTTCCTTCCCCTCTTTGCTTTTGCAGCCCAATCATACTCTTCACTTCAAGTTATATATTTAACTATTTGGTGGTGGTAGGGGGGCAGTCATTACTTCAGCCTGTTTAGAATTTTTTTCATCCTGAATCTGTCAACAAATGTATAACCATGCCTCACAACTTGATGTCACCCAGACAAATGTGATATACATTCCATTTTTTAGCAACATAGAAAGAGTTAATTGAAATATTGGGAGGTGGAAGCAAGAACACAGCTTGTTTGTTGGCATTGAAGATGTTGAAGATGACCTTCTCAATTGGAATCAATTTATTAACCAAAACATTATGGCTAATCAACAAGGAATGAGTTGATCTAACTATAGCATTATTTTCTACACACTTCTTTGTCTTCTCTCACAGAATATTACTAGAAATTTTGACAAATCTAGACTTAAACAAATCTATTCCTCTGACTTACATATTTAAGCAGCAACGCAACATTTGTTTACTAAGCACCTACCACATATCAGACCATTTTCAACAACACAAGATTAACAAAAAATATAAGGCCTAGTGGCACAGTAATGAGAAAGCAGTTTGGCAGGATTGATTTTGCAAGGTACAGGTCAAAAAGACTCTGCTGATAAAACATGATGTGGTAAAGAAGCTGGTCAAAACCCACCAAAATCAAGATGGCAACGAAAGTGATCTCTGGTCTTCCTCACTGCTTGTTATGTGCTAAGTATAATATCAGCATGCTAAAAGATACTACCACAGCACCATGGCCATGACAGTTTACAAATGTCATGGCAACATCTGGAAGTTAACCTCTATGGTCTGAAAGGTAGAGGAAACTTCAGTTCTGGAAATTACCAGCCCCTTTCCAGGGAAACTCATAAATAATCTACCCCTTGTTTAGCAAGTGATCAAGAAATAACCATAAAAATAGCCAACCAGCAGCCCTTGGGGCTGCTTTGACTGTGGAGTAGTTATTCTTTTATTCCTTTGCTTTCTTAATAAGCTTGCTTTCACTTCACTCTATAAACTTGCTCTTGAATTCCTTCCACACAAAGCCAAGAACTCACATGGCTTTCCATGCTGAAACCCAATTTTGGGGTTCACCCTGTGACACGAATGCCATCAAAAATGAAAATGTCTCATCTGTCATCACTTGTTTTTAGTGAACCTGTGTAAATGTCAATACTCAGATTTTTTTTTTCTTTTTATTCACAACTTGGGAATTTAGAAATTAATTCTGAAACTTCTAAGAAATTGATATGAAGATTACCAACATGTAGTTTCCAGAATTCCCATTTCCTATTTTTTGGTTCCCAGAACATTTTCTGATTTTCTATTTTCTTGTACGATTCCCATTCCCATTCTCATTTTCCACAAAGTTTTCCAAAGAATGGTGAAGGTTCCATAAACATTTTCTGCATTCTTTCTGTACCTTGCCATATAATTTGCCCAGGACCAGAGATGAGAGTCTTGACACACTGGCATGTGAGGTCAGAGCAACACTACAGAAATAGCACTTTCATATAATGCCACATCACTCCTGAAAGAAAGGTATTGCAAAGAGTTCCTATTACCCATTGTATGAGTCTCAAATTTCATTAGCTGACTTACAATACGTTCCAGAAATTGGTTTCTTCTTAACTATCCAAATTATCCCTACTCCTTGCCGACTCTCACTTCCCATTTAGTTAAGCTGGCTTTCATTGTCCATTTCTATTTCTATACTTCTCTTGCTATTTGCCCACATTGAAATGTAGCCAAATCCCTTTTTATCTCTATTTAAATACAAGCCCTTTACTTTAAATCCTTTCTTCTTCATGAAGTTATTACCTGTTATTAACATCCCACTTTGATTTATCCCTTCCAATACCAATTAGTCACTAACTAATTTTCTAATTGTTTCATCTATGTAAAGCTTATTTTCTTAGTTACATGGCAAATGCCTCAAAATGTCTTTGTTTTGCCCACTGTGTCTGTTAGGGGTTGAGTACATATTCTACTTGGTGTGATAGCTTAATTGATAATATAATCAAGTACCAGATATAAGCCATGAGATACAAAGAAACCTTAAGAAGACAGCTTATCAGGATTCTTTAATGTTTTATAGATAATTTCATGTAGATCACACCTTCAGATATTTGGCTGCAATTGTCGATTTTCACCCAGTATTTTGCATTGTAATTTGACAGAGTTATTTTCATAACCCATAATATCCCTTTTCTGTCCAGAAACATGAAAACTCCCCCTGGGACAAATGATGAACCTGTTAATTCTAAAAGTCATGTCTAAGCAAGAGGATAAGTTCTATAAGCCCCAAAAATTGTCTCAAAAATCAATGCATTTTTACAGTTTTTGAAATGCAAACAGGCAAAGATAATAGAAACATTTTTATTGCATATTCAGGATCACAGAGTTTATTGAAAAATACATATATATATATATATATTTAGTCTGGTATACTATGTTTGCTCAATGAGCTATTAATAGAGAAAAGAAACTGAGCCTCCACGAACCATGTAGATTGGAGTCTGACAGCTACAAACATATCTAGTTAAAATAATTCCAAGTTATCGAAATGTCTCACCATGGTGGGCATGAGATGACCTTGAATGAAAGCTCCCGGCTGTGCTCTGTGCACACTGCTATGTTATATAGGTGATGATAGGAGGGGAAAGGAAAAAGAAAACTGCCTTGTGCTGGTGGTCAAAAAAGAAATATCACTGAGTATCTTTAAAGATGGAATAATTTAAATTTAAATATTACAAACCCTTAAAGGCAGAAAAGTTCAGTGATAGTGATGACTGAACAAGAAACTCCCTGAGAGTATCTTAACCTTCAAATGCTTTTCCAATCTAGTCATGTTCTTTGCTAAACTTTCCTTTACAGCCTTGTGTGAATTCTTCTTCTTTTTTTTTTTTTTTTTTTTTTTTGAGACAGAGTCTCGCTCTGTCGCCCAGGCTGGAGTACAGTGGTGCAATCTCGGCTCACTGCAAGCTCCGCCTCCCGGGTTCAAGCCATTCTCCTGCCACAGCCTCCTGAATAGCTGGGACTACTGGTGCCCACCACCACGCCCGGCTAATTTTTTGTATTTTTAGTAGAGACGGGGTTTCACCACGTTAGCCAGGATGGTGTTAATTTCCTGACCTCGTGATCCGCCGGCCTTGGCCTCCCAAATTGCTGAGATTACAGGCGTGAGCCACCGCACCCGGACCAGCCTTGTGTGAATTCTTAGGAATTTACATGTCACATCCTTAGATAAAAACATAGACATTTGTTTTTCCTTGTCAATTGATGAGCAGTGGATTGATGTTCAAATATTCATGATCTCCTGTTTCATGATCTCCTTAACAAATTATTTTGGTGTCGCTTTTTTTGTTGTTGTTTTTAGGTTGGCTGGTTAGTCGGTTGTTCAAAAACAAAATTAGATTGACCTTTTATGATGAACATTGATGAACTTATTTCAAATCTTATTTAAAAATCTTGTTTCCATTTAATATTGTCCATCCTATTTCCTTTCCCAATCCTTGCCCCTTTCCAGTATATCTTAAAACATTCTCTCTAAGTAGGTGTTTAATCTTGTCTTCCAACAATGGAAATTCACAGTTTGTTTCTTATATTCTGTATATATTAGACTCAATATCAGATGAATGCTCCAAACAACAAAACCCAGAGGGACAGCCTAACGTTCATTTTCATGGCAAATAAGATTTTCTAATGAATTCACATAAAAAAGAAAACAATAGAGTGGGGCCAGATGGCATAAGATGGAAATTTATGCCTTATCTAGAAACTAGAGATAGGTAAGCATAGACAGGAGGTCCTGAAGCCACCCACACCTACAGACATAGATTAGACTTAAGGCTGTGTGTGTGTGTGTGTGTGTGTGTGTGTGTGTGTGTGTGTGTGTGTGTGTACGTCTGAGATGAGAATAGGGTCAGGGATTTGGGAAATAATATATTTTGAATACCTACAAAGCGCCAACTGTCACAGTTAAATACTCAATCTCCATGTTCATAGCTACTAAATCTATCTACCTCTAGAAAGATTACATCTTAGTTGATCCAGTTTAATACTAATACCAGTAAAAAGGTTTTGTCTATGTGCCAACTAACCACCTCCAATTTTTTTTTCCTTTCTTTACTCCAAGAACAAGTCTTCTGGGCATCAGAGAAACTCAAAACCACTGTGTGAGGTAAGTATTACATTTCCCCCCATTACAAATGAGGAAAGAAAAACTTAGAGGTTGATCAATTTTCCCAAGCTGAAAATGGCTAGTGAGTAGTGAAGCCAAATGTTTAATCAGTTTCTGTGGGACTAAAAAAACCACTATTTCTAGTATTTTTTTAACTGTAAAGGCAAGTATTCAAAGAAGATTTTTTAAAAGCAGAAGGAAAAGGAAAACAATCAGGGTGGGGGAACAAAAAAACCCCTCAAGCACCAATCTCTATTGAGGGAACAAAAATGATAAGGCAGAGAGAGGGTGTTCAGAAGGTAAGAACAATTGGTTAGAGAAATTTGTCTTAAAGTCTTGAGAAATACCTATTTCTGATTCCTATAAAAGCATAGTAAAATAGATCAATTTTTTATTTCAACAAAATTCATGCAGATAGCTAATTTTAATAGAAGAATAAGAATATGCTATTTTTCTTAAAAAGAGTAGCCAGGGATCAGTCTTAATGATTTAATTCACTTGGCCATTATAGGAAGAGTCTGTATTCATACATAGATCTGGTTTGCCTCCATACAGTTTTTTATAAATCACATTTAACTCCAGCAAATTGCTACTATTTTGTATCTTCAGAATGAGTTGGACTGGTTTTCACACTTTTCAACTACTTCTTTTAGTATCAGAAATTCACTCCAACAGCCATAAGATATGTTACCTGCATTTTTGCCCATCTGGAGCCCTGCAAGATAAACTTCAGTTTTAGCATTTCAAGTCTTTAAGAAGTTTTAAACGATATTTCAAGGATTTTGTTATTATCCAGATACAGCCATGAAAAGTACTTTTAATCACAGTCCACAAACCTCTATGAAGGCTATTGTGTTCGAGATATAAAGCTCAAAAAATTAGCCTCCAAAATGAATTAAACCTACCTGGAGTCCAGAAATCCTCCCTGGGGTTGATATCAAGCCCTTTACTCAGGAAATGTTGCCTTTTGTTGATGTGGGGTTGGGAAATCTGAGGAATTCTCCTCCCTAGATTTAATGCCCCCAGATTTAAAATGTAAGTATTAGAAGCTGAGCCCTCGAACATCTCCCTTCATTTCTTGACATCTTTATGACAATGTATGGTGCAGTACCTCACTTTGCTGCAATTACCGAACAGACGGCACTGTAGGCAATGTAAGTTGCTCTTAAGTGCAGCAATCCATTCTGAAGAGATGTACAAACATAAACTCTCAATCATGGCAGGCTTCTATGAAACCTGAGCATTATCTGTGAATTTTCTCCTTTTTAATCATTCTGTTAGCTCACCTCTAGAACCCAGTGGCCTAATTTACTAATTAATAACTATTATTACTTAGTAGAATTGAAAACTGAAATTACTGCCTGCCTTAAACATAATAAAAATTGGCAATCCATTCAGAGTTTTTTGAGGGGATGCTTCATTCATTGCACAGTCCTGGCAGCTGGGTAGATGTCATTGTCTGCTTGCTACATGGGCCTTGTTTCCAGATGGGATGGAAGAGAGGCAGGAGATTGTCTCTCTGACTTGTTCAGACTAGAAAAAGAAACAGAATATAGTACAATCTATACCTGTGGAATCTTAATAGACTATTGTTTCAGCCAATAATTGCATTATTTAGAAACATCCCATTGTCTTCTTTATTTGTGCTTGGTCCTCCTAACTCCAGCTTCTCTTTGTACCTTAGCAGGTGATTGCTAAGCTCAAGTGACTCTTCTTTTTTTCAGTTGCTAAGTGAAAAGTCCTTAAAGAGAAATCGATGATGTAAGTTTCTTGTCTCTTTATATAATCAAATCAGTTAGTAACCAGGTTAAATCTAGGATAAATTAAGCAGAAATTACTACCATAATCATTTTTTTCTTGTATAGTTTCCTTTACAGTTGGCCAAGTCACATCTGCTTAAAGCAACAGAAATGAATTTATCCTTCAAACTTTTCTCCTTTTCCCTACTGCCATTCCAATTACAAGTGCCAATATTATGTCTCATTGCCTTAATCTAGGTTATCTTTCAATTGTCATTACAATATGTTTGGATGTTAATAATACATATTTGTTTATTCTAAAGTCTAGTGTGTATCTTATGTCAGGTACCAGCAGAGAAGCTGAGATTACAGACATAAAAAAGTCCTATTCCTGCTCTCAAAAAGCTAATTTTCTAGCATGAAAGTCAAAGTATGAAGCCATATGAGGAGCACTATGAAAAAAATATCCTCAAGATGCAGAAGGAACTCCAAAAAAACAAAATATCCTTAAGCATTGTTTAAATTTTATCAAGTTCTGAAAGGTTAGCACTACAACAAGGAAAAATTATTGTCCCTCAAATTTTAAAATCTGGTCCAGATTCTCATAAGACCAATCATGAAGGCAGCTCTGCACATGCAGGCAGCAAGTCATCCTAAGAAAGCATATGCAACAGTTAGGAAAAGATGCCTAAATATACACCATGCTTAGTGTGGGTCACTGCTCAGTCAGCTTAGCAGATAACTGGCAAAAATATCATTGTGTCTTTAAGGTGGTCTCAATTATTTGCTTCACACATCTGGACTAAAGAATCAGCTTTTCATGGCTGAGAGTTTGTTAAGAGTTTTTTTCCCCACTTCTTAGATGTATAATTGTGTCTCTTAAGGTGAATCTCATTCAAATAATCAATCCATCAGCTATTGAGAGCCCATAATTTCTTAGCACCCTGTGATATGGTTTGGCTCTGTGTCCCCACCGAAATCTCATCTCAAATTGTAATCCCCACATGTCAGGGGAGGAACCTAGTGGGAGGTGATTGGATCATGGGGCCGGTTTCCCCAATGCTGTTCTTGTGATGGTGATTAGATCTCATGAGTTCTAATGGTTTTATAAGTGGCAGTTTCCACTCCTCTCTCTTGCCTGCTGCCGTATAAGATGTGCCTGCTTTCCCTTCTGCCATGATTGTAAGTTTACTGAGGCCTCCCTAGCCATGCAGAACTGTGAGTCAATTAAACCTCTTTCCTTTATAAATTATCCAGTCTCAAGAATTTTTTATAGCAGTGTGAGAACAGATTAATACACCCTGGGAGGCCATCTACAGTGAATACTGCTCTATTCTCCAATCTCACTTTGATAAGAAGTTCCAGATAGTACCCACCAAGAGAACAAACCTATTCAAAAGAGCCCTTCAAATTTGACCCAACAAAGCCTTGCTCCATATTATGTTGACAAAAACACAAACTCCTATGAACAGTTTACAATTTGTTCATCTGTTTTAGTTCAACCATATACTTTCTCTTGGCCTTTGTAATTGAATAAACACATAACAAAGCAAGAAGAATACTAACAGGACAAATGCTCAATCTGGTGTTTTCAGCCACAGAACAGTAAAAGTTAAAGTCAAGCTTGAAAACCTCCATTTTTCTTTAGGATCACTAACCCAACAATCGCGGACGCCACTAGATCCTAGCTACTCCATGTTTTTAAATGTTAACATCACATAATATTAACAATGAAGTCAATGACAAATTAAATTCTAGATCACACTCAGATCTAGATCACACTATTCCAGAGCTATGTACTATTTTCTATGCACTTTTGCATTGTGAAATTAAGAAGAGGTAGCCGAAAAGAGATGACAAGCCATAGAAATCTCTTCCCCTTTTCAAAGAAGTCTTCCCATTCTCAAAATGTGAATTCAAAGAAATTATTACAAACTAGACACTGTATTTAATACACAAGGTACAGAATTAAAAACAATAAAGATATCTAGATCAGAGCTTGGCAAACTATGGCCTACAGGCAAAATCTGGCCCACAGGCAAAATCTAACCCACAGTCTGTTTTTGTAAATAAAGTTTTATTGGAACACAGTCACACTCATTTACATATTGTCTAAGGAACAAAGAGCAGAGTTTGATAGTTAAGACAGAGAGAGTGTAACGTGCAAAGCCTAAATTATTTATTCTTTGGCCTTTTATATAAAAAAATCTGCTGACCCCTGGTATGGATCAACAATTTCTTATTTGTAATGCCCAAATCTAAAATTTTTTGAAAAGTATTTGGCAGCAAAACCTGAACTGACCTGAAATCCTTTAGCATCAATGGTATAAACTTGTCTGAATTGATATGAGGTTATTTATAGTTTCTATTTATTTATCCCACTGGAAATATTTATATGATTCACTACAGAAATTTTGGTTTGTTTGATTACAGGGAGTTGTCCCAGACCCTACAAAGGTTATTATAATACTTAATATACACAGCACATTCTTTATGCATCTTTCCAAGTTCTAAAACATCCTTAATTCTGAAAAATATCTGGCCTCAAGTGTTTCAGATTAGATTTGGTGGTTCAAAGATGCAAAACCTCTGGGATAAAATAACATTTTTTAAAAGGTTTCATCTTTGAACATTCTCAGGGGTATGAGGTCCATTAAGTAGGAGTGGAAAGACCATGAATGATAAGTGCCACTCAGTATTAGTGGACTTTCAGATAGACACACTCAGATGATTTGGATAGCGTGTATTTTGTATTAAGACTTGTGGGCAAAGCACAAAACAGAAAATAGCAATAGCATTAATATTAAAAAGAGAGCTAATAATAGATATCTGCATGCTAAAATATATTTGGAAGACTGCCACTACAATTATATAAAAAAGTAGCATTCTTACTTTCTTACAGTCTTGCAGTGTTTGCTTCTAGTTATTTAAAAGCTGAAGTCCTTTAAGATTAATAATATATAACAGGAGAAAACAAAGTTTTCACCTAAGGAGCTCATGGATCTTGGGAACTGACCCAAGGACAGATTAAAAAGTCTTGTTTTGTAAAACTAAGATTGTCACTTTCTAAATGTGAATCTCAGACAGGTCTAGAAAGTGTTGCTTTGAAGCAGTCAAAGAGTTAACCTTGATGCCTGTGTTTGTGTGTGTCCTCCTCACCACCCCTAAGACAAAAAGCTTAGCAGGCAGCACAGTGATGGTGCTTTATGGCAGGTAAAAGAAATGGACATAAAAATATCATACATCTGAACAGGTGTACAAAGTAAGTAGCAACCTGAGTCATCAGAAAACAAAGAAGGATAGATTTTTGACAGAGAATATTTTGACTTCAGAAAGACTATTTCATAGCACTCATAGAATGTTCAGAGAGACCTGGGACAAAGATTGGGGTCATGGAAGCTTGGAGGCATAGCCTCAATATTTTTAATTCACCATAAAGTAAAAGGTGTACCAAAAAAAAAAAAAAACACATCAAGTCAGCATCAAGATTCTTTCCTTTGAATGACCAATATAAATAAGAATAAACCAGCATTAAATTTATATTGCTGGTATTCATAGCTCTCTATGTATGATTATGGGTGGAACAAAGGGAGATTGGGTTGCTTCAGCAGTCATATTGACTTTGGCAAGTGGATCAACCATGCAGTAATTTGGCACTACCGGCAGACATCACACCATTCCGCACAGCTTTTAACTTAGTATTGTGTTCACAGTCTTTCCAAAGAATGTCTCCCTTCCTCTTTAGGTCTCAAAATAATTAATGAGAAATGCAGACATATTTGTAAAAATACAAAAGTTCAACTTCTAACAGCACCATAAGTCAAACTGATAAGTCATACAGAATTGACACAGGCTTCCATATTTGGATGTTCACAATTATTTGCCCAATTATCAAAGAGGTTGCATGCCACACAGAATGAATAGGCAGACTAATCTGATGAACTGTCTGGGTATAGCATACTTTGAAATCTAAGATGAGACCTTTATGCCAACTCAATTGCATCAATATTATATGGAGCCAGCCATTGGCAGTATTTTTTTCTCATCCAGCACTATGTATAAAGTATCTCTTAATGTCATTGTCTTGCAGTGGTGTGCATGTGTGTGTTTGTGCACATGTTTATGACAAAAAAAAAACCTTATCAATGCAAGGGCTCAGAAATATCTAGTACAGGAGTCAGTAAACTTTTTCTGTAAAGGGCCAGGCAGTAAATATTCCAGGCTTTGCAGGTCCTACAGTCTGTAGCAATGACTCAACTTTGCCGTTGTAGCAGAAAAGCAGACATAGACAATACATTAATGAATGTGTGTGGCTGCAATTCGCCAATCCCTGATCTAGTGCATAGAGCTCTATTGAGTATGGAATTGAGATCAGATCTGTAACAGAACCTGACCCTCAGCCATCTATGCCTCCAAGGAATTAGTAGTTCTAAAACATCAGATTTGATATGATTATGTAGTAATATATATGCCCTAGATACTTAAATAATTGCAAATCAAAAAGGATTGAGAAGACCATGATTCCATCTATAGGTTTTCCAATAATTTCCTCTGTAGTTCTTTGAAATGTTGCTTTTCTGTACTCGTAATCCTAGATTTGTGATGTCACCATCTGGTATTAACCTCCAGGATTAAAAGTTAGGAAAACACACTGAAAACCTTGGAAATTAAAGTTGAACAATTTTAACGAAAGGATATTAAATTATTTTAAGCATAGATTTAGCAGGACTATAAAGTGACGACTGTCTTCACAACTTAAAATGCAGGTATTAACATGTTTAAATGTTTATCAATTTAGTTAAATGATAGGTAGATAGATAGATAGATAGATAGACAGATAGAAATAATCAGCATAGATGTGCTTATGCAAACGTATTTTGTAGTTCTCTTATAAGAGGGCTTAGAATCAATTACACCTCAGTAACAGTGAGCACACCTACAGCTGAGATCTTATTTAACGATCTTTCTTTAAATAAGTAAAGGAAACTATGAGTCCTTGAAGGGATGGATAAATATAATTCTAGGGCTGAGACCTGGAGAGTACAAAATGATTCTGGGGCATCTTTTGTGCAAAAAATTAAGAAAGTTCTCAAGGAATAATGAGACATGTAAAACTATATAGAACAAACTTGAAGTGGCCTTCACTGGCCAAATTCAAGACAATTTAAACAACAAAATAATGATAGTAACAGATTATTCCCCATAGACTAAAATAATAATCCATTTATATACATTGATATAAACAAATGGCAGGGGGGATATCCTTCATACAGCAGAATTCCAATCCATAGATAAAGAAGAAATGATAGAATTTTAAAATTCACCATAATAATTATTTTGGACAGGAAATATGAATGAATGCCAAAACTGGAAGGTGAAATTGTGATGAGAAACAGGGCTTATATATTGTCTATATCTTTCACAAGACACTTATCAAGTAATATTGCAAATGGAAAATAGTAATTTTACAGTACAGAAACCTGGCAGATAATACCATAACAAGTAGTCAAGTTAGTACCACCAGTATGGGGGTTAAATTAATATCATGTGCCTCCTGACACAATGCACTGAGAAGGATATAGCATCTCATTTGTAAAATCATATTGCCAAAAATGCATGACCAGAATCTAATTATGAAGAAATATCAGCAAATTCAAATCAAGGAACAATTTAGAAAATATTAGTAATGTGCTCTTCAAAACTGTTAGAGTTATGAAAAACAAAAATTATAAAAGACTGAAGGTATGTTTAAAATCAAAAGAGATTTAAGAAATATGGCATCTTGGATCATAAGAAAATTTTGGTTTTCTTTCTTTATAAAGGACAATAGTGGGATAACTGATACAGTTCTGTTACATTCTGATAATCAGATAATAGTATTGTGTTGATGAAAATTTCTTAACTTTGATAAACTGTACTGTGATGTATATAGAGAGAATGATAAAACAAGTATGATGGAATGATAATGTTGGGGAATCTCTATGAACAATATATGGGAATTCTTTGAACAATTTTTGTAACTTTTTCAGTAAGTCTGAATTTTTTTCAAAACTAAAAGAAAAAGAAAAAGATATGGACCTAGAGCCAGAGTGCCCGTATTTGACATGTGAATATGAAGTTGCCTACCTTGGAAGGATTATGGGCTGAGTTGTGTCCCCTAAGAATTTACATATTGAAGCCCTAGTCCCCAGGATCTCAGAATGGAACTGTAGTGGGAGATACAATTTTTTAAAGGGTAATTAAGTTTAAATGAGGTCATTGGTGTGTACCTTAATTCAATATAATGAGTGTCCTTATAAAAAGAGGAAATTTGGCTGAGCGAAGTGGCTCACACCTGTAATCCCAGCATTTTGGGAGGCTGAGGTGGGTGGATCACCTGAGGTCAGGAGTACAAGATCAGCCTGGCAATATAGGGATACCCCATCTCTACTAAAAATACAAAAATCAGCCAGGTGTGGCAGTGCACACCCATAATCCCAGCTACTGGGGAGGCTGAGGCAGGAGAATCACTTGAACTCGGGAGGCAGAGGTTGCAGTGAGCCAAGATGGTGCCACTGCATTCCAGCCTAGGTGACAGAGCTAGACTCTGTCTCAAAAAACAAATTAATTAATTAATTAATTAAATTAAAAGAGGAGATTTGGACACAGATGGGTGCAAAGGGAAGACCATATAAAGACACAGGGAGAAGACGGCCACCTACAAGCAAAGGAGAGAGGCCTTGGAAGAAACCAATCCTGCTGACATCTTGATATTGAACTTCTAGCCTCTAGAACTGTAAGAAGAATATATTTTTATTGTTTAAGCTACCTAGCATGTGGTACTTTGTTATGGTGTTCTAGCAAACTAGTACAGGAAATTTACTAACTGTATGAACCTTTCTATTTACATTTTCTCCTTTGTATACTAGGGTCATAATTATCTACCTTATGGGATTGTTATGAGGATTTAAGAAAATCATACATGCAAAGTATTTAAAACAGCATCTGGCATATACATTATTTAGAAATCAATGAATTATTATTTCTGCCACTACTATTACTACTACTACTACATTACTATTCCCTACTAGATTGTACTGAGGCAGAAATATGGAAGCATGATATCTAGAAGAAGATAACACATAAAATACCATTATAAACTGATTTACTTTTTCTGTTTTTCACCAATTGCATTATTTATCTTCACAAGAAGATACTGAGGAATATTGGTCTTGCTTATTTGCCTGCTCCATCTGAAATAATGATCTTCTATTCAATGAAAGATTTGTTAGAAAGTCCTGAATTGGTTTTATCACTGTGTAGAGAGATATCATTTCTAAGGTCATAGTTTAGTCACATGAGAAGAAAAAGCTCATTAAATATTAAAAAATAATCTTAATTTAGGTTGATCAGTGAAAGCTTACTATAGACTAGCTACACATTGTGCTAAATAATCTGCATGTAGCAACCTAATCCTCAAAACAATCTTTTAAATTATATATTATGTTACTGGCAAATATCAAAAAACTAATAAAAGACTAAACTAGATTTCTTAGTTTTTAATCCAAATCCCATGATGTTTACTACTGTGCTCTATGACATAGCATTATTATTACATCCAAATATTTGGCTATAAATACTTTTTTTCTTTACTTTTCAAGGGACTTAGAACTATGCAGACATGACTTCTAAAAATTTAAAATAAATGTTTATGCAAACCAAAAGATATGAAACTTTTACATGTCAAATAAACAAAGTCAAAGGCAAGCAACAAACAAGAGATGAAAGCCCACAAATATGACAACTCAAACTAGAAAGAAAACTGAGTCATCAAAACAAATACAACATTTAGGGGATGGCAGTTTCCAAAGAGGAAATTCAAATGGCCAATAAACATGGAAAAATTTTTATCTGACTATTAAAGAAGAAAGGTAAATTTAAACAAGTTGGTAGACTTTCATTTTGTTTTTGTTCTGTTTTGGGTTTTTTTGTTTGCATTTCTATTAAATTTACAAAAAAAACGAGAAAAGAAAAAAAAAATCAATGTTGATAAGCATGTGGCTTTTTCGTATGTTGTTGACCAGAGTAAATTTTCCTCAGTATTTTGAAAAGAGTTTTCTAATGTAAGTTAAAGTAACATAAAGCTGTTTATCATCAGCTCAATTATGTCACTGCTAGAAATCTCGTAGCAAAGTAATATGATTCAATCCAATATATACAATAGGTTCTTTTGTATTTGTTAAATATGTTTCTGGAATAAGGGGAGTGGTGTTATATGACGTAAGTCAGGATGCAAATTGCTGTGTAACATAGTATCTCTGGATGTTAGGATTATGAATGATTTTTATTTCCCTAGGTTTACTCTGCTTTCATTAATCTATATGTAAATACACACTTGTAATAAAAAACAAGTAAGGAAAGATAAACAGAATCACTATTTTTAGTAAGTTATTTTTATTCAAATCTTTTAAAACTTATCTCTTTAGATGGATGAAATACTTGTAAGCAGAAGCGTTCATGTATTTACGCTAGTAATTATATCATTACAGAATTGAGACATGCAATTTCCCAAAGGAATTCTTCCACAAATTTCTATTAATTGAAAGGCACATATGCTAAGGATACAGACTATTTCCATGACTATTTTCACAAACTAATGGCCTGCCAATGTCTTTTGATCCTGTGTTCGAGAACTTGTTTACAGAATAGCTGTTTGGAGTGAACAAATGAGAGTTTCTACATGACGATTGACATCTGTATCCCTTTCTTTATATATTTATATTTAGATTGCAGATGTACACTAAGTGGATGTGTTTGAAGTCTTCCTTCCTTCTTTCATTGACACATAATTATTGAGAATCTGTCACTTTTTCAAAGAAAAAAGAATTTAAGCAATTATGTAGTCATATTGTTAGGTTTTGCCAGAGTCTCGTCTGGGTGTGGTTTCTGTTTTGTTTGAGTTGTATTTGGGATCTCTGATCATTGCATATATAAGGTTTCAACCATGGTGGTACTCTTCCTTTTTTTGTTTTCAACCAAGTCTAAGAATTTTCTTTTCACCATACTGCAGCTTCAGCAAACAGAAACACCACAGTGTAATGTTAGGTGAATAACATTGAGTGTTAGGAGAATAACATTGGTATGAAACAATTCTACAAATAAGGTTGTTCTCAGGAAGTAAGAATAGTAATGATCATTTTGCTCCCATTGTTTCTCTACATATTATGAACTAGGTCAAATATGAAGTATGCTGTATATTTGAGAGAAGTTATGCAACACAAATAAATTTAGATTGAACTCTCTCCATCTCTCTGTCTCAGCGCTACATACGAAGCTCCTTTGCAAGATTGTTTTATGCTATGATGTCCCTTTGAAGAGAATTTTTGTGAGATTTCCAGTACATAACAAGTTGAAATTATCTTAAGAGAATCATCTCTTAATTGCCTTGGGAAGAATCTATATTTTAGATGCTCTTCTCTATCATTTAATTTAGAATAATGATACATGGATTCTTCCTTCTCTATTAATAAATCTTCCATTTGAAACTCTTTATGGCTATTCCTCTAGACTCGAGGCTAAAGCATGCTCAAGTATCTCCTACCTTAAAAACAAATAAACAAAAACCTGTTTGACTTTGAGCTTTTTCTTTTTCCCTTTTTTGTTTTCTTTGAGTCTTGGTCTTGCTCTGTTGCCCAGGCTGGAGTGCAGTGGTGAGTGGTGTGATCTTAGCTCACTGCATCCTTCAACTCCTGGGCCCAAGCCATCCTCCCACCTCATCCTCCTGAGTAGCTAGGACTACAGGTACGTGCCACCATGCTAGGCTATTTTTTAAAAATCTTTTTGTGGAGACAGGGCCTTGCTATGTTGCCCAGGCTGGTCTTGAATTCCTGGCCTCAAATAATCCTCCCAACTCAGCCTCCCAAAATGCTGGGAATATAGGCATAAGCTGCTGTGCCTGGCCAACCTTCTCTCATTTTCTTCAGACTCACACATCTAGCAAAAATGTTTGTATACTCTCACCTCGTGTTCTCTCTTCAAACCACAGTCATTATTTAAGGTCCTCAGCATTTGGCTGAAGGTACTGTATGACCAAATCAAATTGATATCTTCTCGTTTTTAATATACTTATCTTCCTTCCTGAATTTTAATTTCATAAGATTCAGCCTAAATGATCTACATCTCTATTTGCCAAATGCCATGTGGAAAGTAATAAAAGAAGTATAAATAAAAGAGAAAACTTTCTTTAACGTTTTTGTTTTCCTGTAGCTATATTTTCCATTCCTCCCACTTTTCACTTCTGCCATAGGGCAAATCACTCAGTAACTTCTCATTTCCCCATTCTTCTTTGTCATTTCCAAGTCTGAACAAGCCTACGGGGTACATTCACTCTCTTTCCTGCTGATGCTATGGTCTGATGAAAGGACAGAAAAACAAAGTCAGGACACCTAGTCCCAGGTGTGCTAACAACAGCAGAAAAACAGATGTGACTGAAACCAGTGGTGATGATGGCGGTGGAGATGGAGCACAGCCCTGAAGAGTATCTAGAAGTTTGTCTCCTCCAGAGAAATGCGCATTCATTCAAAAAATATGCCAGGCACTCTCAGGCATTGGGAATAAAGCCATGGGTAAAGTATACTTGCCTATGTGGAGTTTACAGTCTTGTGGGAAATTTCTGTTCATACCACACACCTCAGACTTGCAGAATCAGAAACCGGTGAGCACTAATGGAGGGCTTATCTCTTAGAATTGTATATAAATTAATCAGAATGTTGATTCATCAATTTGCAAAGGGAAATGTTTGTTGCTTGGAAGCAAAGTAATCGTGCCTGCATGATCAACTCATTCCCACTTTGTGATCTGTACATCAAGCTAATTGAAAAGGCCAAGCCATAATCAGAAATGTATTTAATTGTTTTAAATTAAAGATTGCCAACACATTTATTGCCTATAAAAATGATGCCACAACTTAGATTTCTTCCACATAACCAGCCCTTTTCCTCCTTAGAGAACGAAATGTAACCATGGTGGACATGGACTCATAATAAAGGAAGCTATTTAGGTGAATTGGCAGTTAGTATGATCAGGCTTAGCTAGACTTCTGTGCATCTATTTCATAATAGAGATACTCCTGTTTATAGAATTGAACATTGAAAGTCTAATGGCTTACATTTCCTCAGCGCTAGATAGAGCTTGGAAGTCTACTGTCAAAATTCCCTATGTGAGGCATCCCATTGAGCATATTTGCATTTTCAAAGAAGATATCAATCATATCACAGTCCAGTCTGATAATATAAGCTGACAGCCATTAGGTCTCTTTAAGGTAACTTTGCCTAACAACAGCTCTGATAATTATGTATAGAATGAGAAGAATCGATGCTCAGGGCACAATCTTATTTTCCTCATCTCTGGAGAAAGCCTCAAGTTCTCTATGATAACAATATAAACTTAGACACGTTCACTAAACTTATCTGGGAATCACTTTTTCCACCTTCAAATGGATTGTGTGACCACAGAGTTTCCTCCAGTTCTAGGGCTGAGGCAAACTGAGGTTGGTACCACAGTTGAGTTTACCTGGGAGAGGAATTTATCCACAGTAGACTGGAGTACTGTGGCTGCAATGGAATAGAATACAGCAAAAATTGTTGAAAACCAGGGTTGTGGCCAGGAAAAGGATTCCACAGCCCTGGTTTCCAACCCTGGGTGCCTTGTCTGAAGAATTTTTTTTTTAAAGGGTCAAGCCAGAAACTGGACAGTGAGGAAATGTCTGAAGATGACTATTTAAAACTAAGATAGTATATGGGAGGGATAAACCAGATTATTATTATTATTATTTTTGCAATCAGTATTTGTCAACCAAATCAGACCTGATGCCTGTTTTTCTATAACACATATTTTGTTATATGTTGTAATAAAATAATTAATCAGTTGTTTGAACTTATGTAGAATCACTGTGCATGTTCAATAGCAACAAATGCAGACTCAGTGATAGAAGTGGGCTAATTGGTAGATATAATACTACAATCAGGGATGTGACTTTTTAAAATGGTGAACAATGTCCTGGCATAACTTCCAAACAAACAAACAAACAGAAAAAAAAAAACAAAAAACAAAACAAAAAAAAGTGTGCTTTTCCTTCAATCTACATAATGGTAACATTCTGGAAAAAGTCAGTGCATGTTAAAATCATGCTACGTATATAAATATTAAGTGGAGTTCTGTTCTAGACTGGGTTAATTATAAATAGGCTTTATTTACATGCAGTTGTTTCAGAAAATTCCAACTGTGAAACTTCCTAGTTGTGCAAAATTATCTAGAATACTTGGTCAGTATCACTGTGACAAAAAATAATACTTCCAAAGATTTTCATAATGTGTCCAAAAGGCAGTACCACCATTTATCCCTTACCCTGTACAAGCAGTGGGTACTGTTAAAGAGTCTATGTAGTAGGGGAATGTGGATGCTGAAAGGAGCATTACTTGTCTGCATATCCCTGAGCTGAAATTTTATGATTTTTGTTATTATTGAGGATAACTTCCCTCCACCAATTTCAACCTCCAGTTATTTCTACTGCTGTCTAAATTTCTTGGAGAAAAAGCATGCAGTTTGTTCCCAAGATCACACATAGGCTTCATTTGAATAAGGCAGATGAAAAACTCCTATTTCCTCCACTATGCTTCACCTAGCCTCCAAGGCCACTTCAAGCCACATAGGAGATTGCCCCACCTGGCCACTTCAAGCTTCCAGCTTACTCACCACTTCAGCCATAAGCTTTGGTCTCCAGTTTCCTCCTGTTAACAGTCCAAGTTCTCCTACAAATATGAATGTCAATTCAAAAAGTTCAAAAAGGGAATTGTGGGTGGTAGAAAACGATAAAAAATGTTTATTTTACTGTATTTGCTTGTTTCTTTGGGGACCTGGCATATGGGCTTATATTTATTTTCATGGTGTCCCAGCTTTCATGACATAATGTGTGGGAAGAGGTGACCATGTCTACATGTGTGCATCTCTGTGTACATGTTTGCTATGCCATATATTTATATGCTTAAAGAATAATTTACTCATGTCAAAGGGTTAATCAATATGGGGTATATTTTTGTACCTTTGCAAATTTTATCTGAAAACTCAATATGGAAATTTAAAAGAGAAGAAAGAAAGATGATTAAGGGTGTCTTTAAATGACCAGGCCCTCTATTCCTTCTGAAATAATCAATTTTCTAGCCTTCTTACATAACCTGCACCAGGTACTATGATATTTTGATATAGTATATACAAGGCAGCCCACTGGGGCCCAGCATTATATATTTCTTTTTGTTTTTTTTTTTTTTTTTTGAGACGGAATCTCTCTTCACCCAGGCTGGAGTGCAGTGCTGCGATCTCAGCTCACTGCAAGCTCCACCTCCTGGGTTCATGCCATTCTCCTGCCTCAGCCTCCCGAGTAGCTGGGACTACAGGTGCCCGCCACCATGCCCAGCTAATTTTTTATATTTTTAGTGGAGATGGGGTTTTACCGTGTTAGCCAGGATGGTCTCCATCTCCTGACCTTGTGATCCACCCGCCTCGGCCTCCCGAAGTGCTGGGATTACAGGCATGAGCCATCATGCCCGGCCAGCACTATATATTTCAAAACAATAGCACTAGATAAAAAGCAAATGTTTAAAATGCCAACTAATAATCTGAAGAGAAGGTGTTATTTTGGAGTTTCTTAAAGTTTTAAGCAGAAACCAGGTGTTACAAGAAAGTGATAATTTGAATATTTGCACCTGACTGCAAGAACCAGGCCCGAAGAGAGTGCTAAAACTAGGTAATACAACGTTCACTTGTGGAAGTCATCATTTTAATATTGTCAGATGGTGAATAGAATTTTCTCTCAGGATAAATCGTTCTGTGCATCTTGAGAAGCACTAGATCTTTTCAACTTTAAGGACTGTCATGTTACATTTACCTAGTGACAACGGAGAACCTGGCCCTTTGAGCTTTTATAGATAAGAGGAGTATTCCCAAAGAGTTCAGTGCCCTGGCATCCCATACCAGTCCCTGGTCATCATTTTCTGGGACCATGACTCTAAATCATCATTGTCTTCTGTTCCTCTATTTCCAACACCTTGGAGAATGCTCTGTGTGCAGTAGATACATAATTCATACTTCTCACTGACTTACTGGCCATTCCCACCTGAAGAGAAGCAAATAATTCCAATAAAACCACACAATTATAGCTGAAAAACCCTCTGAACTTAGAGTGGCAAATGCCCATTTTGAGTGCACTTGCTAAAAATAAGACAAATTAAGCTGGTCAGATTCAGAAAATCTGCCATTTCTTCTGGCTTTATTGAAACCTTTTCAGAAGCTTTTCTGTTACACAAATAGAACCTGTTTCCAAAAATAGATATTCATTCAAGAACACGAAAACCCACCCACGAGTTTAACTGCCATTTTATTCTGACCAATAAAATTCCGGGTTCTTGAGTGATATTTTTTTCTTTCTCTCTCCTGAATTACAGAACGATATTCCAAAAATGAGAATCCTTTGATTCTTACAATAAGAAGAAATATTCTCCTAGGGAAATATGCATGGCTTCTTTCAGCCCTATATAATCATTCTCATTCCTCAAAGATTCATTGAGCAAACATTGTTGTCACTATTCATACAACAAAACATTCTTTCATGAACTTTCAAATAAATAAATAAGTTGTAAGATTTCTGCACACTCAGAGTCAACCTGGCAAGTCCTCAAATAGTTAAGTTGAACAGTTTACTTAGAAAGGCTGACAAATTTGCTTCACTTCAAAATATCATTAACACCAATAACAGATTTGCCCAAGCCTATTGCTAAGTTGTAAGAAAAGATTGCTACAGATTAAGACCCTTGATATAATGCTATAAGCTCCTAACAATGGTATCTTTTATAGTGAAGAGCAACTGCAGACACAAATTGCCCTCTTTCCTGCATCTTTTTCACAAAAATCAATATTAAAGTAGTATCTGCCTTAACTCTCCCATACACTATATGAGAAAAAACCACAGCCGTGCTTAGGACAGTTTAGGTCAATAAAGAATCAATACTGTGGTTGAATCTGTAGAAAGATAAAAGACTTAGAACTCTCTACACAGGGACCCATTGTTTTCTCTCTATTCTGTAAAGCAGCAGAAGAATGTCACTTGTCTCTGCATGGCAGGTGTGGGGGTTGAGGGCAGTTTTTTCTTCTCTTTTTTAAGGTTGATGTGCATTAAGTGTTGGTGAAAAGTAAAGGGGCATCATACAGAAGTGGGGGTGGGAGAAGATTGCAGACACTTTTGCTTCTTTTAGATGTTTTGACTCTTTTCTGAACTGTCCCTCACAGAAGTGGGAGATGGGTAGAGAGGAGCCTTTTACAGGAATTCAGACTTGGTAAATATGAGGTCAGGTGATACCAAGAGGCAGATGGTCTAGATTAAAATCTGAGCTATGGTGTGTAGTCTTGGGAAAGTTACCTTACTTTTTTAAAGCCTCAGTTTTCTCATTTACAATAAAATAAAAGATACAAATACCAGCTAAATTATAGAATTTGTAATAGATCTTTTGTGGGCTCACCAATGTCCCAGCACAAGGGTCTCTGAACTGCTCAGCTCTCTTACGGTCAGACAAGGCCCTATGACTGGTTCTGGTCAATGAACTGTGAGAAGAAGTGACATATTTCACTTCCATGTTAAGGCAAGTCTCTTTCCCTGACATGGCAAACTTGGGGGAGCCTCCTGCTTAGAGAGCCATGAGTTCAAAGCCACCTGTGTCTCTGAGTCATCACACAGAGAACAGATGTCTTGGATAGTCACACAGATCTATCTGTGTATGATAAGCAAGTAAATATCTATTGCAATATATCATTGATTTGGGGGTCATTGTCTGTTGTTTTTACCACATCATGACCTAGCATATCCTATTCATTAGTTAACAGGAACAATTTACAAATGTATTCTTATAATGCTGGACACATTTAATGCTAGCACTCAATTAATCTTTTAATTTTTAAAATCTGCATCTCAAGCCAAGGGAGCAGTTTGAACAAAATGGTGGAATGAAATAAGTGCATTCAGGAATTCTGTAAGTAGAGGAATGCTCAGGAAAAAAACATAACATATATTAGAAATGGAAATCGTCTTTTAAAACATCCAAGTTAGTATTCCAAAAAGGTTGTTGTATAGAATGTCAGTCATGTAAAGTGCAGAAAGAGTGTTCTTTGCCTTAAGAAATTCAGAAAATGCCGCTTACTTAATCTCTTGCTTGGATGTTCTTAATGCACATTAAATTACTAAAAGCTCTGAGAAGCACTGCAACAGAGAAATCTAATAGTTTTTTGTGTATTCCAGGGCTTTTTAAGTTTATTTGACCACAGAATGCTTTTTCCATGTAACACCAATTACCTTTTTACAGAACACATTGTTATTGCCCTCAGAGCACTTATTAGACTGTTAGTAAATTGTTTAGCTACACTTAGCACTAATATTAAATTATGCATTCAATAGGTTCAGCTATGGTATTAGTCCATTCTCACACTGCTAATAAATACCCGAGACTGGGTAGCCTATTAAGGAAAGAGGTTTAATTGACTCACAGTTCAGCATGGCTGGCGAGGCCTCAGGAAACTTACAATCATGGCAGAAAGGGAAGCAAACACATCCTTCTTCATGTTGTGGCAGCAAGGAGGAGTGCAGAGAGAAGGTGGGTATGGGTAAATCCTCTTATAAAACCATCAGATCTCATGAAACTCACTCACTATCATGAAAACAACATGGAGGTAACCAACCCCATGATTCAATTACCTTATACTGGGCCCCTCCCATGGCATGTGGGGATTATGGGAGCTACAATTCAAGATGAGATTTGGGTGGGGATACAGAGCCTAATCATATCATTCTGCCCCTGTCCCCTCCCAAATCTCATGTCCTCACATTTCAAAACACAATAATGCCTTCCCAACAGTCTCCCATATTCTTAAACTCATTCCAGCATTAATTCAAAAGTCCAAGTCCAAAGTCTCATCTGAGACAAGGCAAGTCTCTTCTGCCTAAAATCAAAAGCAAGGTAGGTACTTCTGACTGTAAAATCAAAAGTAAGTTAGTTACTTCCTAGACACACTGGAGGTACAAGTATTGGGTAAATAAACCTGCTCCAAATGGGAGAAATTGGCCAAAACAAAGGGGCCACAGGCCCCATTCAAGTTCAAAATCCAATAGGGCTGTCATTAAACTTTAAAGTTCCAAAATGGTTTCCTTTGACTCCATGTCTCACATCCAGGGAAGGATGATGCAAGAGGTGGGCTCCCATGGCCTTGAGCAGCTCCACCCCTAAGGCTTTGAAGGGTATAGCCCCCCTCCAGTCTGCATTCACAGGTGGGTATTGAAAAGACACCTTTTCCAGACACACGATGCAAGCTCTCCATGGATCTACCATTCTGGAGTCTGGAGGACAATGGCCCTCTTATCACAGCTCCACTAGGCAGTGCCCCAGTGGAGACTCAGTATGGGAGCTCCAACCCCATATTTCCCTTCCACACTGCCCTAACAGAGATTCTCAATGAGGGCTCTATCCCTGCAGCAAACTTCTGCCTGGACACCCAGGCATTTTCATACATCCTCCAAAATCTAGGCAGAAATTCTCCAGCCTCAATTCTTGTTTTCTGTGCCACCTGCAGGACCAACACCACATGGAAGCTGCCAAGGCTTGGGGCTTTCACCCTTGGAAACAATGACCTGAGCTGTACCTTGGCCCTTTTTAGCCATGGCCAGAGCAGCTGGAACACAGCCTTAAGGCTGGACACAACAGGGGGCCCTGGACCTGGCCCAGGAAACCATTTTTCCCTCTTGGCCTGTGATGGGAGGGGCTGCTATGAAAGTCTCTGACATACCCTGAAGACATTTTCCCCAATGTCTTGGTGATTAACATTTGCCTCCTCATTACTTACACAAATTTCTGCAGCTAGCTTGATGTTCTCCTCCCAAAATGGGTTTTTCTTTTCTACTTCATCGTCAGGCTGCAAAATTTTCCTAACTTTTATGCTTTGTTTCCTCTTGAATGCTTTGACACTTAGAAATTTCTTCTGCCAGATACTCTGAATCATCTCTCTCAAGGTCAAAGTTCCACACATCTCAAGGGCAGGGGCAAAATGATGCTAGTCTCTTTGCTAAAGCAAAACAAGAATCACCTTTACTCTACTTCTCAACAAATTTCTCATCTCCATCTGAGACCACCTCATCCTGGACTCATTGTCCATATCACTATCAACATTTTGGTCAAAGCCATTCAACAAGTCTCTAGGAAGTTCCAAACTTTTCCACATTTTTCTGTCTTCTTCTGAGCCCTCCAAACTGTTCCTCTGCCTGTTACCAAGTTCCAAAGTCACTTCCACCTTTTTAGGTATCTTTATAGCAGCACCCCACTTTCTGTATCAATTTGCTGTATTAGTCTGTTCTCACACTGCTAATAAAGAATTGCTTGAGACTGGATAATTTATAAAGGAAAGAGATTTAATTGACTCACAGGTCGGCATGGCTGGGGAGGCCTTAGGAAACTTACAATCATGGCAGAAGGGGAAAGCAAACACATCCTTCCTCACATGGCAGCAGCAAGGAGAAGTGCAGAGTGAAGTTGGGGAAGTCCCTTGTAAAACCATCAGATCTCGTGAGAACTCACTCACTATCATGAGAACAGCATGCAGGTAACTGTCCCCATGTTTTCATTACCTCCCACCGAGTCCCTCCCATGACATGTGGGGATTACACAAACTACAATTCAAGATGAGTTTTGGGTGAGGACACAGCCAAACCATATCAGCTATACATAAAAAGAAACCTATATAACAGTGCCTTTCATAAAACAAATAATAGCTGCATTTATAGCCTTACTATGTGAGGTATTGTCTTAAGCTAAATATTTACTCACTTAACCCTAGTGACATCCTCTCTTTTGTAATAAAAGATCTGAAGGTTGAAGAGATCCAAGTTTGATGTAATGACCCAAAGCTTTAAGTTTCTGCAGTCCTATTACTTTTTCCCTCACATTCAGTTGTAAGATGCCTGGCTGGGATGACACCAGGAAGAAGAAAGACATGCATAATGAATATGTCTCTGCAGCACTTGCCTCCCTTTTCCTTAAAACCCATCTAAAATTATCTATTTATAACTCTTGGTCAGAATTTGGTCATATGGTCACATATAATTGCAAAGGTATCTGAGAAATATAGACTTGTATTTTTGTTATTTTATTTCACCTGAGCACATGGTCACCCGTAACCAAATGGGTGATCTAAGGGAGGAAAATAGAATGTGTATTGGGTAAGCAACAAGTAGTTTCTGCCACATTCCTGGTATATAATCAGTTTATTATTTCCACTTTTAGGTAGTGTCAATACTACGCCTCTCACTTACACATGTATAAGTAGAAATGCAGACATGATGGAAATTTAGAAACAAAATGTTGAGTATAATTAAAAATTTTTAAAAAGAATAATTACCCAACTGAGCCCAAGAAAACTCAAACTATTTCTCATCTTGTTTAGACCTATCCCACAGGGGAGGTAAAACTCTGAGATGTAGAATGATGTAACTCTAGGGGTGATGTTCCATTTGGAATCTTAGTTTCCTCTGCTTTAAAGAAGGGACAAGAGTCCTACCCTCTTTGAGTGTGGAGCGAGGACATTCAATCAATTAGCCCATGTAAAACCCCTGTAACAGAGCATGATCTTACAAGTGTTCAAGAAGGTTAGCTATCTTAGCTCTTCCAAACAATGAAAAAGTGACTGACTTATCTCTATCATAGAATCCAGTTCAAAGATATAATGTAGCTCCCACCTCTGCCACCCCCCAACACCCCCAACTCAGGAAATAGCATCCACTATTTCTGTGAAAACAAACAAACAAACAAAACCTGTACTAAACCCAGATACATGATCTTGCTGATGTACTGATCCAGAGCAGCCAGTATGGATATTAGGGTGGGACTTAGGAGTCGGGTACAGGTTCTTTTCTCTTTGCTGGTAAGTGGACGGGACCCCCAAGGCACCTCTATCCCCACAGGATACCCACGACCTTTATCTGAATCATCAGACTCAGCCCTATGGAATTTCTGATTAGACAGTGTTTCCTTTTTGCTTTCTGTCCTAGAGGTGAATTTCCCAAGCAACACGTACATCCCAAGTATATGACATGCTTTCACTCTTTGATGTGGAAACCTTAAGACAAATCTTCTTCAGATGTTTATACATTTTCTCCACCAAGGTTAAGAGTTGCAAAAATGTTCCTCACAACTGCTCTCACTCTACAAACTATAAACACTAAGGAATGTCCTTCCCCAGTATGTTATTGTTTCAGCATGACTAATCAGAGAAAATTGCAACATATTGCCTAGTTATCTAATTAGACAGAATTACTGATTAATTCTCATCCAAGAGTCCCTGCTCTCATCCCTGCTCATGTCACCTCTCCTTGCTCTTACCTTCTCCAATTTCTGGAGAAGTTGAGCTAATAGACACCAAGAAGAGAGCAGGTGCCATACATTCTGCATATCATTTTTTTGTCATGTGGGCACTCAGCGCTCAGCCAGGAGCAATTAGCCCACCTTCCCCACTGCCACTGTCACTTCCCTGGGCACCTGGGTTCAGAGCTGTAGCTCTGTGCCTGATGCTGGAACCACAGTGGGGTGAACCCTATCAATATAACAGTGAGCTGGGTTATATGCAGAGCATCCACATCATCCAAGCCAGGAAACGTTTGTCTGGGACAAATGTCAAGCAGGCAGGAAACTGGGACAAAAGTGTAAAGGAGGACTATCCTTTACAAGAATTAAGGTTACCCTAGCTATGCAGCACAGTAGCTTAGAGGCTGACCACAAATGGGTTCAGTACACAGGCTTTGGCTTCAGACACACTTGGGTTTGTGTCCGGGTTGTGCCGCTTTCTCATCAGGCAGCCTTTGGCAACTTGCCTCCTTTTCCTCTCCAAGTTCTGGTTTTCTCATCTCAAAAATGGGGATGACATTATTAACCTTATTGGGGCTTCTGTGAACCTTAAATTAGGCAGTATAAATAAAGGGCTTAACACAGTGACAGGAAAACAGTAGCCGTTAGCCATATATCCCCTGTGTGAGGACTGCTAAGCTGACACATTGAGTTTGGGCTCCAAATGGGAAAGGAAAAAATTGAAAGAAGAAACTATATTCATGTTTATGTATTCCAGTCTTACTTCTTAAGAAACCCTCGTCTTGAGAACAAAAGGGAGAGAAAATAAACAATGCATGCACAATATCAGATTCAATATATTCCCGCCCAGTGAAGAGGAGGTTGTTATATTTGGGGGTGGAGGGCAGCTGCCTCCCCTTTTCCTGAAGTCCCATTCTGATCTTTTTAGGGGCTTCTCCTCCTTTCAAGTTCCAAGTCATCATCAGTCAGGCTCCTTCTCTGGGTTGCTGCTCTGCAAATTTATTGCCCTGCCAGCTGCCCCAATGCAGTACTTGCACCAACTCCATCAACTGCTTTGGGACAGGCTAAACATCAAAATCTATTATTTAGATTTTTCCTTCATCTCCAACTGATTCCATCCCAAACTCAATTTCCTCCTTCCTCTTTTTCAATTAACTACAGTTGCCCAGAGCTGGGGCGATAGGAGGAGATACTAGGGGCATACATCTGTCATCATTTATCTGGTAGTGTATGGGGTATGCTGGAATTCAGATCCCTAATATAGCCTGTTGGACTCAAATAATTCTAGACATATTTGATTTTTGTAAAAGACAGAAACAACACACAATGAGCCTTTACATCGACCACCCAAGGGGGCACTTAGAGAGAATTTCCAATCTATTCATGATCTGTTATTCCCAGCCCCAAAAGTTTCCATGTTATAGCAGAATACCCAGGGACTCCATATGTTATGGGAACACAGCAGAACCAAAATGAGCTGAAAGAAGAATGCGTTAGATTCAAACATGGGATGAAACAGTACCCAAGGAGGCCCTGTTTCATTGTCTCTACCTGGGACCCTGGGACAACACAGCCATCTCAGCCCCATTCAAGTGTGACATTTCTTTTGAATATGACAGTGGCGGCGACCTTGTCATTAACTGATCCTATGAGCAACATTTCAGCTTTCATAATTCAGTTAATTTTCAAGCCACTGGTTACTGAACCCCCAGTATAATTTTCGTATAATTAAACCACGTACACACACACACACACACACACACGCACACGCACACACACACACAGATTCTCACCCACACAAAACATCCACAAAAGTGACAAACAGCAGAGAAAAACAAAACTGAAAATCCAGAAAAATTAGAAGCAAGATTTAAATCTATCTTCTTCGTTTCCTTTTATCATAGGTGTATGCATGTGGAAGGGAAATGAGCAAAAGTCAGTTGGCCTTGGAAAGGGTGGGGAGGGGAAAGAGTTCATTTTTCTATTCCCATTAGCATTAGTATGCAAACGCAAAGGGCAGCTGGGCATTTTCTCTTTACTAATTACATAATACACCTACATAAAAAAAATTGGTAAAGGAATTACACATTTTCAATTTAGATATTAGTTGCACAATTTTATGGAAAAGTCTTACAAAGGGCATACAGGTTATGTCTTCATTATAGCAAGAATTTTGCTGAGAGCTTAAAAGTTCAACAAAAATTTAAGTATTTGGGTAATTAAAATCCATATAATGATTTTTCAGGAAAACAACTGATTGTTTCATTTGTAATAGCAGAGGCTCAAATTAATATTAAAAATATCAGTTTATCAGAAAAATGTATGTGGTCATTTTTATATATAGACCACACAAAATCTGCTCAATATTTGTCTTCATATTGTACTCTCTTGGCTTTTTAATAATATTTGCATGAAGAATAATCCAAACTTTGGAAAATGTAGCTTCTTTCCTAAGCAGATATTATCCTTTCTCTATGTTATCTTATATTTTTCAATGTGACCTGTCACATAGATATGTGCCCTTCTCTTTCTTGACCAAAAATTTCTTGACAATTTTTGGATATTATGTCTACTGACTGCTAAGACAGATTCAAATTAATATCAGCCTTATGCTGATACTATGTGTCTTGGGAAAAATACATATGAAACTTAGGGGTTTGAGAGGTTGATAATATTAACCAGATTGTACATCTCTTGAAATCAGTTTTCTTGAAACTCTTGAAATCAGTTTTATTTCCTCTCACTGCTCCTCCTTCTCCTCGTTCTCTTTTTTTTAATTCTTCACTCCCTCGCTCTTTTAATCTCATGTCTCCATAACCTCATCTGCTCTTTATAATTCCCTAGTAACACTCAGGGAGGAGAGAACAAATGGCAAATAGTAAATATTCAAAGAAATGTTATTCCAAAAGCTCGTGGTCTCACCTCTCTAATATGTAAATAATTTCAACAGAATCTGGCCAGGATTTTCCTAATGAGTCTGCTAAAATTCCACCACTTACCAAGAGCTCTTTTTAGTGGTGGATAGCAATCACATAGGCCTAGTTTTACACTCTGCTTATATCTGTGGTGGTCAAACACATAATATGGCAGGAGAGCATAGGTAGCCCAAACTTGAAAGAATCTAAAACAGTATGAGTAGGGATAATTATTTAATCCATAAATGACTTGCACGCTGACTTGATAACATTATTTATCTTTGTCTGTGAAATTTCAGGTGATTATTTTTCTTTTTTCCAAAAACGTTCAAAGTATTTTCTCACTTTTTAAACAGTATGCAAAGTGGGTAGTTTCTTCCTCCACTTTTACCTTTATTTTGTTTTATTTTTTATTTATTTATTTATTTTTTTGAGACGGAGTCTCGGCTCACTGCAAGCTCTGCCTCCTGGGTTCACGCCATTCTCCTGCCTCAGCCTCCTGAGTAGCTGGGACTACAGGCGCCCGCCACCACGCCCAGCTAATTTTATGTATTTTTTAGTAGAGATGGGGTTTCACCATGTTAGCCAAGATGGTCTCGATCTCCTGACCTCGTGATCCACCCACCTCGGCCTCCCAAAGCGCTGGGCATTTTCTTCCTCCACTTTTACCTTTATTTTGTTTTGTTTTATTTTAAACTTGAAGAACACATTGTACACCTACTAGATTTTGGGATACTGAGACTAAAGCTGGGAAAAGCAACAATCTCTTAGAAGAAAGACCTGAAGGAATCATTAGGTACAGGTCCCAAGCCCATCCACCTCTCAGACTCTCCTTTTTACGCTTGTTACTGTTGCTATATATTGCTTTGCAATGACTTGAGGCATCAGAACGACAACCCTGCAAAAATAATATAAAGGACTGAACAAAAGAAAGCCTCCCATCTCACAGATACTCTGGGATCTGATTGTTCCCGGCAGTCCAGGTTGCTCCCCAGTGGCATTCTCATACCAATTCTCCTGAGATGAGCCCACCCTCTAATGGATCTCAATGTCAGGATGACTGGTGTGATACGCATCTTATATCCTCAGCTCCTGATTTCCTCACATTACTCTTCGTTAGAGCCAGCTCCTAGGTGAGATAATGCTCTCCTCCTCTTGCATTCCCACCCCTTCCTGATTTTAGTAGATGACTATCGGATGCCCCCCAATCTCTGCTTCGCCAAGCTCTGCACACTTAGTTATTTTAATCTTTCCTCATAAATCAGTCTCTCCAGCTCCTTAATTATTCTTGACAGATGATTTGCCCAATAGTTTACCATCAAAATGTGAGAATGTTGTCTTGAAAGTATATCAACATAAATTATTTTTAAAAAATCATTATTAGTACTGAGTCCTTGGAGACAGAAAGGAAGTGAGAGAGCCCCAATACATTCCTAATGAGAGCTAGGGCAAGAATTCCAGAGCCTTCTTAAATGAAAATGCACAAATGATTTCCTTGTTACCAAGAGTTTGAGCCAACACAGAGAAAAGTATCTTCCCTACTTCATGGAAAGTAAGCGCTATTTCTAAAAGAGGATGGCCAACCATTGAATATTTCATGTAGTAGTTAAGCCAAGAAACTTTTCTTAAAAACTTTTACTGCAACTCTGTCAAAGAATGAACAAGTTCCGGTAATAAAAGCCAGCTACAATTCCAGGGAGAGAAAAGGAACAGCGGCTTTTGCCTCACCTTCGTGTTTTGGCAGAGTACTTATGAAGGAGGTGGAGGCAAGAGGTAAAGAAACACTGTATTTTCTGTTCAGCATTGCACATAAACTTCCCAACACAGCCTAAGAATTTTCAAAAGCTTTCTGATCTTTTTACAGCCTGACATCATATTCCTCTATGGTGACACCATAGCTTTTAAAGATAGGAATCCAATGGCACTAGTATCTTAAAATGTTCCTAACCCATCAAAATTTGGCATTTGGTAGTTTATTTAACAACCTTAAGTTTCCAAAGTTTTCTTCGGGTTTTGAAGACTACGACCCTCCGTCCAGATAAGTTTCTATGTGTTTACAAACTGTGAGGCCAACCTTATGAATAGCACCTTATAAAAGAGGTCTGGCTGGTAGGGTGCTTTGACTGGAGGGAGGTTAGACGGAGAGTTAGAAAAGAGACAAAACAGTCTGGGTTCAAGCAGTAATGATTTCTTTTTTTCTTTTTTGGCCAGGTTCTGCAATTTGCACCTCCTTTCCCATTCCCTTTAGGACTGGTCTGACCAATAATTTTCACCACAAGACCAAAAAAGAAAAAAATTCCAACTTTCTTCATGATACAGCAGGAGTTCCTGCTACTGGGCTAAATCCCCTTTATTTCTAAAGTATGAACAGGCAAATGGAGATTCTTTGTTTCAGGATTTCAAGTAGGCAGAGTAGAGACTGCCATCCAAAACCTTTCTTCACAAGACAGAGGAGCACACCTAGATGTTGGGATTGTAAAGCTGAGATCTTTCTCACTCATGGGCCTGCTACAGCAGCCTCTCAAACTGCCTGTAGTAAACAACCCATCCATTGTTTTTGTGTTTGAATCACTATGTGTCTTACTGAGCAGGACTCGTGTGCAGCTTTACCATGTGCAAGAACCCTACACAAGATAGACATCTGAACTGCTCTATTCCTTCTTCATGGGGAGAAAGGCATGGCTCATGCACTTGAATGTTGTGTGGCAATGTCACTGCTATAAGTTTCTATCAATTTACTTTTAACTTCTACACTTACCATTTCTTGGGACAGCTCTAAGTAGTTTCAAACTGGCACCAGGCCACTGTGCACTGAGTAACACTGTACTAGAACAGGAGTTGGCAAACTATGCAGTAGGCAAAATCCCATCTGACATCTGTTTTAGTAAATAAAATTTGATGGGGACACTTATGAATTGTCCTTGGCTGCTTCCATGCTACCACAGCAGAGTTGAGTAGTTGGCCTTTAAGCCTAAAATATTCATTATCTGGCCCTTTAAGAAATAGTTTGTGAACCTCTGTTGAACTAGAGCCTTCTAAGTAACAAAAAAAAAAAAAAAATGAAATTGCGTTCAGCAAAGTTTACTTCACTTACCCTCTCACTACTTCCTCCCTTCCAAGGAGAGATGAGGTCTGATACTTCCCATTGGCTACTTGGACTGGACTGGACTACACTATTATTTCCAGAAACAAAGATGGCAAGGCATTTGCTTTGAAATTCAGCACACAGCACACAGACCTAGAGAGGATTTACACATCAATTATCAAAAAGAAAAACCTTCTGGATTGTCTCTGTGTGTACATATGTTTGTTGGCATGTGTGTGTGCATGTGTATGCTAGCCCGCGCATACTCACTTGTGTGCGTGAGTTCAGCCATTCCAAGGCTGAACCAAATCACGAAAAGCTTGCTGTGACAATAACCAGCTAAAGCTCAATGACCATGTTCATAGAGAAGCCCTTTTGTTAAAGCAAGCCACTCAGGAAGAAGGCGGGAAGGGGAGGGGAAGAGGTGAGCTCTGCCTTTAAGAGGTCTATGGCGCTTCAATCAGAAACAGCTGTGGCCAGTTTAATGCTATCGAAGGGCTCATATAGATGTGACATCACACAGAACTAAAGCTTGGCCAAGGAGTTTTACTGGCAATATACCTTAGACTCTAAGGATTTAGTTACAAATTTGTATGTGGTGTATGTTTTTTGAATGAATCCACAACTGGGAACCAATATCATATCACATGCCATTCTAGTAACTCAGAAGGCTGTAAACAGGGTGGGTTTTTTTAAGCTTAGAATTAAAATCTTTATTAATTTTAAGCTAAAGGGAAATAAATGAATTTGCTATCATCCCAGTTCATTACATGTCTAACTAGAAAGATTTTCACAATCAGACCAGTATCCTGGCCAAGTAGGAGGAACTGGGAGACACTTTACATTCTAATTTCAAACTGCAGGGTATCCCAGGTGTACTGTATAGGATTTCCTGTAATTTACCAGCAAAATAAGCAGGAATTTAGGAATATGTTTGCTATACTGTACATTCATATTAATTACCCAGCAGGATAAAGTGATTTCTTTGTGATAGAAAGAGATGTGGATCTACAGGAAAATCGTTAAACCAAACCAGGAAAAACAGACACATTTCTATTGTTAAGCAGTTTGGCTTGATTCACAATTGGAGCCTGGGAATATGTTATTGGTATCATTTGTCTCATACTCACTCAATTTTCTCCCAAAAAGGAGAATGGACTCTCCAATTGAAACTAGCAAACAAAGCTGAAAGTGCCATGCTGGCCACTCTGAGGGTCACGAGTGAATACGAGGCACAATGCCTTCCATCAAGTAGTAGAATTTTGTTAGAGAATAATTCAGAGATACACTAAACTATAAAAAGGATGGGAAGGAATCAGTGCTAAGTGGAAAAGACAATACATGCCAGAAAATTTCAGAGGTGGAGAGAACACAGCAAGCTAAAGTGGTAACAGAAGGCTTTATGGGTAGGGCAGAATTTGGACAGGATCTCATAGAAGGAGTGTGATTCGGACAGGACCAGAGGATGGAAATTCTAAGCAGTGAGGTGCAATGGAACAAGGAGGGATACAAGATGAGGAGCCAGGAATGTACAACAGGGGTTTGGGTGATAACTTGTGTTTAGATAGGACTCAACATGGGTTAATTATAACGACACCAAAAAGAACAGAGCAGGAGGGGACCAAGAAATCAACAGCTGTTGAGCATATACTATGCACTAGGTGCTTTATGAGCTAACTTAATAACTTTTTAAGGTAGGTATTATTATCTTTCCTATTTAGAGATGAGAAAACTGATGTTCATAGACGTAAGTAACTCACTCAAGGCCGTGAGGCAGGTAAGTGAATGACTCAGGCATTTATAACCACATCCATTCTCTATTATCAAGACAAAAGTTAACAAGTGTTGGTGAGGATGTAGACAACAGGGAATACTTGTGCATTTTTGGTAAGAATGCAAACTGACGCAGCCAGTATGGAAAATAGTATGGAGATGTCTCAAAAAGTTAAACGTATCACTAACAACCATATGATACAGCAATCCCACTTCTGGGTGTATATCCAGAGGAAATGAAATGCGTATGTTGAAGAGATGTCTGCAGTCCCATGTTCATTGCAGCATTATTCACAATAGGGAAGACATGGAACCAGCCAAAACATCTATTGATAGATGAGTGGATAAAGGAAGTGTAGTGTATACAGGCAATGGAATATCATTCAGCCTTAAAAGAGAAGGAAATCCTGCCATTTATGACAATATGGATGAACTTGGAGGACATTCAGGGACATGAAGTAAGCCAGACACGGAATGACAAATACTACGTGATACCACTTATATGAGGAATCTAAAACAGTCAAACACATAGAAGCAGAAAGTAGAATAGTGACTGTCAGGAGCTAGGGGGAGGCAGGTATTAATCAAAGGGTACAACGTTTTAGCTATGCAAGATGAGTAAGTCCCAGAGATCTACTACACAGCATAGTGCCTATAGTTAACAATACTGTACCGTATAGTTAAAATTGTGCTAAGAGGGTAAATCTTATTTTAAGTGCTCTTATCATATGCATACACACTCACACACACAACTAATAATAAAAAGTATAGGAGAAAAATTTTGGATGTGATAAATATGTTTATGGCATCGATTGTGGTGATGGTTTCACAGACACATACTCATCTTCCAACTCATCAAATTGTATATATTAAATATGTACAAGTTTTTGTATGTTACTTATACCTCAATAAAGTATTTTAAAAAACACGTTTGCTCCAGTGTGTATTTTTACCCTATCTTAAAGGCTGACCACCCTATCTGCCCATCAGAATCATGTTGATATAAAAATATAACAAATATTTCATAGTTCACCCCCAGGAGGTTCTGATGCAGTGTCTTTGGGCAGGGACTTGGACAATTCTCCACAGATGTTTCTGAAGCCCAGGAAGTAGTGTGGACTTCTGCACTTCACCTTGACTTATACTGCTCTCCTTCCACCCCCCAAGCAGCTACTGCATCCATCATGAAGTAATCTGGTTACCGTCACCCAAGTGCCCTCTCCAACCTTTCAAACATTCTGAATAACCTAAAACTTCTACGGACCACAGACTGAGATGAACCTAAAAAAGAAGTTTCTGACCTCTGTTGTGGTGTAAAATGACGCCTTAACCTGGGCTTCACAGAAAACAGAGCCTGGAGCAATAGCGTATGTGCTTCTATTTGATTGGAGAGTGAAAGCCCAGGTAAGTGGAGTGAGGTAAAAGGGGAGGGGAAGGGAAAGAGAGTGCATCACTGAGTTGGGCTTTGCTGGGCCTCAAGGGTGCCAGCTTGCTCTGCAATGTAGACGTTTTTCTAAAAGGACGCTGGGTAGTGGCTGTGTATCACAATACTTAGTGAAAGACAGTGGAGGCATCTATCTGCTGGCTTTAGCCCCCCCATTGATCAAAGGTTCACTCCATGGGACATTAGTTTCCCCACATTTTGGGGTTGCGCATTTATGAGCTCACGGTGGTCCTGCAGCATGGCACACATCCCTGGTAGCAAGAAAGAGAGCTGTGGGGGAGGAGGAAGAAGATGCATACAGAACTGTCAATGAAGTAGTAGTTGTGTTGACAAAAGCTTTGCAGATAAACTAAGATAATCTGAAGTGGCACATGAAGGTGTCTGACTCATATAACAACATTTTTCTCCCAATTTAATGAAGAAGTTATTTCCAATAAACAGCACATTTGTTACATAGAAAAGATGGTACTAGAAGAATGAGCAATAAAACATTGAACGAAAGTTTCCAAACGTCAAAATATACCTTTCCTTACCCTCCCAGGTTTTTCACTGGGATATATTAGAGCCATGTTTTATCTTAACAAATGTGGGACAAGTATACATAACAGTCTTTAGTAATTAAATGAGAAACTTTCCCATTCTGCTGCTATTTAATATCAGTTAATAGTCTACGGGAAATAAATTGAATGCTTTGTACCATACTGAAGGGAGGAGAAAGATCCAGAATAATGTCAGAATGTGTTTCTCCTCATTCTACCATTTTCCTCTCTTCTCTACTAGGTGAGGATGTATACACTATATAAACAGAGACTGAACATATTACAAAGATAGACTTTTAGGATGTCCATAGAAAAAAAAACTTCCTGACTAATTATTCAGAGCATAAACCAATGGTTCTCAAACTATCACATGCATCAGAATCAGAAGGGGTTGGTAGAAGACAAAGCACAGCTGTTCTCACGAGTTGCTGACACTGCTCTACCCCCAGGACCACACTTTGAGAACCAGTGGCATAAACTAACCTGAGTCTACCACTTTTGACTACTAGCGTGGGGATTATGGGAACATGTAGATGTTATTTGATTTTTCTGGGTAATTTAGGTCTGACCCAGCAATCTTTTGGCTCAGGATTTTGGCATAAGTATATTAATGCCTTGCTACTCAGGGTATGGTTCAAGGTTCAGTAGAATAAATATTAGCTAAGAATTTGTTATGAATGCAAATTCTCAGCCCCACCCCAGAAGTACCACATTAAAATCTGCATTTTGAGCAGAAACCCTGGGTAAATTGTGTCTACCTTGAGGTTTGGAAGGCACTGTGGGGACCCACTTCCTTGCCTTAGTAAGGTTAAGACTGTTTGCAAGATTGGGGAGATAGTACAGCATTTCTAAGTCATTCCTGAGCTCCAGGACAGATGTATGATTTGTAAAGATTGCCTTCACTCTAAAGCTGACCTGAGAGCATTCCAGTGTAGTTGTTTTTGTTTTTTCACAAATGAAATCACTGTTTGAAATTGTGATTATTTAATAAAAGTCCTATCACCTTATATTCTTGTTTCTTGTCTCAAAGTCCAGTGGCCTCTAGAACCAAAAAGGTCTGAGTTAAAGGTCAACCCCTATCTCGTTCACGTACCTGAAGACAGAGATACTATTTAAACCAGAGTTTGGTAAGCCTTGTCTATAAAAGGGTAGATAGTCAATATGGCTTTGTAGGCCATAAAGAGTCATACTGTTGAGCTGCAACTCCTCAACCCTCTGTGGTAGCATGAAAGCAGCCATTGGACACAAACCAATGGGAGTCATTGTTCTAATGCCACTTTTTTTTTTTTTTTTTTTTTTTTTTAACAAAAGCAGGTAGTGAGTCAGGTTTGGTCCATGGGCCATAATTTGCAGATCTATGTTTTAAACTCCTTAAGCCTCAGTTTCCTTGCCCATAAAATGACCTTCAAAAAGATCTATCCAGAAGGGTAGGTATAAAGATGAACTGAAATAATGCATACAGGAGTGTCTAGCAGAAGAGTTTAATGTTGACAATTTTGTGTTCCTTTACATTTCTCCTAAAATTCAGGTGCAGAAAGATTATAATTGATTTACTGTTTTGGTTAGAGATATTCCAGTTCTCCCTCCCTCTCTCTCTCTCTCTCTCTCTCTCTCTCTCTCCCTCTCTCTCTCTCTCTCTCCCCCACTCTTTTCTCTCTTTCTCTGCCAGCATATCCCCTCCAAGCAGTGGTTTGGAAGTAAGCCTGATAAAAGGGAGAAAAAGACACATAGGAAAATTGAAGAAAAACTGTTGAATTTTTGACTTGCAGCTTTTCTGATTTCTGTATCTTCTCTGATTGCTCCAGATCCAGGAGGACTTTCCTCACTTTCATAAGGTGATCAAGTTTAGAGAAACGTAGCAGAGGCTACAGGAAAGTAAATGTTTGCATATATGTGAGCAGCTGTGACATACCCCAGGAGATTCAAGCCCTGATGAAGCTGGTGAAAACACTGTGACTGAAGGTGAAAGGAGAAAGGACTGGTTAGAAGGGAGGATGGACAAAAGCTCAGAGAAAAGGCAGTGAGTGAAAGAACAGAGAAGGATACAACAGTAGGAGCAGAGCCAGACGTAACGGCCTTTCTTCCTGAGACAGAAACTTCCTCTGAGGTCCTGTGCACACATGCCAATTTGACATTTCATCCTGAGAACCTGTGTTTGGGATGATCAATTGGTTCAAAAGTTACTAAAATGTAAAAGCAGAAGTAGATTACCTCCCTCCCCCTCATGCAAAGGCCAACTCCTGTAGAAAGATCAACAAGTATTTTTCATCCCACTGTGAAGACTTGGCCCAGTAAATGTTCACATAGATGAGCTGAGCTTTGTCCTGCGGCTTCCTCCCACCCCAGAGTGACTCAGCTCCCGCTAAAGAAAAATCTGTGTGTGAAATCATGTTTCCCTAACACTCTATACTCCTCATATATCCACATTTAACCAAATACGAACCATTATAGATTTAATATTCTGGTTTTGAGCCACCCTGCACCCCATACTCGAGCCACCTTTCTTTTATGTGGGGTGGGGTGGGGTGGGGTGGGGTGGGGGGAGGAGTTACACGCTTCTTTTCAAGGTCATAAAGAAATTAAACCAAAGCCCCACCTCCCTTCCTTTTTCATATGCCCTGAACAGTTCTAGAGAAATTTTCTAGAGAAAATAGAGCTTAATTTCTTGGAGGTGTTTTGTTGACAAGAAAATGGAAAGCATGTGTCCCTGCTTCGCTTATTGTACTTCCAAGTAATGAAAGTATTTAAGAAGGTACAATTATGATCTTGGCAAGCACCTGGGGCTCTTGGAACTGTTTTTTCACACTGAATAAACACTGCAGATAATCTGTTTACGTTACACTCTTCTGAAAAGCTATCTACAACAAAAGGCCACAACCATTCTTTAGTTTCCTTTTCTTGAAAGGAAAAAAAATATATTGCACTAATAATTTGCTGAAAATGATTTCATTGTCTCCATTTTCACTCTAGCCAGAAACAGGTTTGAGTAAATGAATTTATGGATTTCTTTTTTCTGCCACTTTTAACTGAACAGAGCCATCCTTTTTCTTTTTTTCTAGTTACCTGGAATTCCTTTGTTTGTTTGTTTGTTTTAACAATCCTTGGTGACCCAGAATCACTTGCCTGCCCTGAAAAATTAACTATCATCTTTCTTTGCATAATGTATCCCAAATTCATTTCATCCTCTCAACCTAATTGACTTGATGAAATGGTACCCTTAGCTACATTCAAACATGACACAGCCCCAGAAAGGAAGATGCCATCCATTTCTTTTTAGGCTGAAATATAAGGAGAAATGGTAACAAGCCACTGAGTTAGGAAACACTAACAGAAAAATGCATGTCTGCGGCTTGATTTGGTCAAAACCTTTAAATTGTACAGATGCTATGGAGATTTATCTGCCTAATATAGGAGAATGCAACAGAAAATCTAAAAAGATGGCACAGGAAGAAAAGAAGCAATGGCATGTTCATGTATTGTGCAATGTTCTGAGATGCAGTAAGTTTCACAAAGGAGAGACAAATAAGCCATATAACATCACATTTGAGGGAATCTCATTCTTACACAGAGCAATATAGGGTCAATGCCCAGAAATTCAAACAACTGTTTTATTTCTCACTCTGTAAGTTTAAAGGGGAGGATCCTATTGCCCCTGTGTTGTAGGAGTTGAGGATGGTCTTAATCCTTTCTGGGGTAGAGTGAAACTTTTTTTTTTTAAATTTATGATCTCTATGTTATTGAGATATGAGAAACAATGGATTGAATGGAAGAAAGTCTTGCAGTGTATGTGAAAGTGGTACCCTGTGCTGTTTCTTCTTCTTGCTCACTTTCAAGAAATTTGTAAAGGGTGCAAAGGGCATCCGTGCAGGAGAGAAACTTTTGTTCCAAAGGCCACCATGGATTCATCCTCTTGGACAGTCTTTATCTTAAAGACACTTGAGGAGTAAGCTCTCTTAGCCCCCACTTAGATGTTACGGCCCCTTGATCAACCATCAGGACCTTAAAACTCTATCTCTGTTGCCCTCAGGAAATATGTGAGGGAATTGCAGAATCGCAGGTTATGTTTCTAGAGTCATCTATCAATAAAGACAGAAGAATTGAATTCTTCATGATCTAGTCCATCATTTTCAATTTGCAGGTGTGGGGACTGGGATCTTGAGAGCTGAGGTCACACCATTAGTTAAAGGCTCAGGTTATCCCATGTGGTATCCCCCTGCTCCCCCAGCTGCTTCCTTTATTCAATGCTGGGAGCCATTTAGCTCCTGGGGTCCCTAAGCCTCTAACCACTAGGGGGCAAAACTAACCCAACGGTCTCAGTAATTCATCCCAGCTGAGCAGCCCCATTTCCTCCAGCCCCATCCCAGGAAGTCTCTTTTCAGTGATGTTTTGAATTAAGAAGTTGCAATAACATTCTCACAGTCCCTTTCAGCTCTGCGGGTTGGCCTCACCGAAGGCTAAAGGAATTCACAGCAGTCCCCAGAACAGCCTGGGGTATGTTTCTCCCACAGTTATAAAGAGGGAAACCCATCATCAGAAATGACACGGTCTGGTTCTACCCTCAGCCGAACATTGATTGCATCCCAGACTGTTATCAAAGCAGAGGCAGAAGAGAGTCTCTACCTGCGTCCCATTCCCTAAGGGATATATGTGGTGGGGACAGTCTGGTGTTCTTGCCTTTCACAGCTAAGAGAACAAAGGCAATCAAATGTGCTGTCGGAAAAGTTAGGATGAGGACATTCTTTTAAAGGAAATGTCCAGGTGGATAATTATGTAGCCCTTTGGTAAGTGTCTGGTATACATCTATATGTTGAATAATAAATGATGATGATGGATTCTGTTACGAATTTGTCTTCAGGACATCTATGAGTTATAAAGAGAATTTATTAACCCATCCTATAGGTGAGACGTGAGGCAGAGAAAAAGTGGCTCCCCCAACACCACCACATTGGTCAAGCCAGCCTTTTAATTGAAATAAAACTGAGGCCACTGAACTACTCTCTTTCTAGCCACAATGATCACAGTAGAAACATACTAAATTTTTCTCATATTTAATATAAGGTACACATGGAATTGGGAAGAATAGCATTTAATGTTTTCAGATTCACTGCTGACCCCATATTACCTTCTTGACTGTGTTTGAAGATAAGTATTACAGTTTTATAAACAATGTCACAGCATAGTAGCTTCATATTTGTTTTGGTTTCACACGATGACATCATGTGATATGGGAGGAGTCTCTGAATTCTCAACTTGGTATAAGAAACATGAATTATGTAAGGCCTATTTTTGGAAAACATTGTTTTAAACTGTATTTGACAGTTTTCACTTGGCATAGGGACTTTCAGAGTAGAGACTCCAGATTGCATTGCAAATTATATTTATTTACTTCGATTAAGACTAATTAGGGGGAGGGAGTGCTCTCTGGTAGGGGAGGAAAGTATTTTAGAAGACAGGGAATCTCTTCTGAGTATCACGCTGCTCCTTGCTTTTCCAACTTCTTCCACTGCTTGGAGGAAATTCTACAAATCGGATTGGCTCTTTCTGCTTTAAAGAACATTTTCACACACACACACACACACACACACACACACACACACACACACACACACACAGAAGGAAAACCTGAAATGGAAAGAAAACTTTGCCTCTATTTTTATGGATATCAATAAAGAATACAAGGATGCTTAAAAATTCCTCAACTTTCTCTCCTCCCACTACTTGCCTCCAAAACCCAACCCAAAAACACCACTGAGGCAAACAGCATACACAAGGACACATGTATCCAGGGTGCCACACTAAGGGAGGAGTTAGCCATTTTGCATGGAATATGCTTTTTTTCATGACAATATTTTTTCTCTGACTCAATAATATAGATGTCACATTGTTCAGTCCAAAAGAAAAAATTGCAACAGCTGGAAAAAATCCTAGTCATTGTATGCAAAACAGTGAAGGAAAGCCAAAGGACGAGGGAGAAAAAAAAAACACTCTTTGATGGGAAAGAAAAACAGCAAGAAAAGAGAGAGACCTAGAAAGATGTGTCATGGGACCAACTTTAATCCTGCATCCTCTGCCACATTTAGCTTCTCTGCCATCAACCTGCCATATTTCTTCATGGGCTCGGCCACTAGTACTTCAGATCCTCCCAGGAGTCCCATGGCTCTTCCAAGGAGTATACAAGTGGCACAGAGAGTGTGGCAACTTCCAAACATTAAAGGGAAAAAGGAGTCTCCTTCCACGCCATCATCATTTTTAAAAACGGCAATTGATGTCGCCTGAAGCGGAGGCTCGGAAACCCAATTATACCACATTTCATTCAAGTGTCAGAATTGGAATAATAGTGCCCAACAGCAAGGGCCCCTGTGTGAAAGGACGCTGCCATATTATCTTGTTTTGGCCCAATGTTTTCATAAATTTAGGCTTGGAGCAGAGCCCAGCGCTGCTTTCTTTCAAGGTCTTAGCTTCCCTCATCCTTTTTCTCAGCTCTTGCTGCTGAGCCCTGTTCTTTCCTCCTGCAGAGTCCCCTCTCACCCTCTCCTCCTCAGCACTGGCTGTCCTGTGGTACCAGTGGCTGCTCTGTTTACTGAAGAACATATGCATCATTGGAACATTTTCCACACCCCTTGGGCCAAATGTTTTCTGTACTTGGCCCTGAGCAGCCTTTTGGATTCTGTGATGAGGAGCCACTAAAAACCATGTGGCGGCCACTAACTCACATATTATAGCCTGTTCTGTATATTACTGCCATTGTTATTACTAGTCGCCTTGCCCTGAGAGTAATGCACACCTCAACGAGCTTTAATTAAAATTGCTCTGCTTAGCTAAATGTTTTCCTACCAAAGGCCTCCCTGTCCTCCTTTGTGGTCATTAGCATTTAAACAGGCCATATACTTACCTACCCGGAGGTTCTAGTCAAACAAGAGGACGCTCTAGGAGGCAATAGCCTCCCCAACTCTGTGTGCAAAGAAGCACTAGACTGTCATTTACTTAGACTGTACTTCGGAAGATGGCAATCACACCTCTGATGACTCGGGTGAGGAAAGATGGGGCATGTCTGCATGAAAAGATGACTTGGAAGGAAGAATCTATCTTTATTGATAAAGACTGGCCATTCCTCAGATGTTGGTAGCACATCTCCTGGTAGATAAAATTTGTCTCTTGACTCCCTTCTGAGGGACTTCCCAGATACCTGCTCTCTCCCTCTCTCTCTCTCTCTCTCTGTGTGTGTGTGTGTGTGTGTGTGTGTGTGTGTGTGTCTTCCACGCTCCTCTCTCTCTCTCTGGCACTTAATGCTTACCCACCAACCCTTGTCTGCTTGTTCTTGGCAGGATATTAAATACCAGTGCAGAACTTGGCCAACTTTCATTCTTGATAAATGATAATTTATCTTCTAGGCCCTGGAATGTTGGTTTATATGCCTGTGTGGAGAAACAGGATGCTGAACTCAATCTCTTTCTTTGGAGTTCACTTCCTCCAGTCCCCCGCCCCAATTATTTCTGGTTAGACTAGTCCTTTGGACACAGATGCTTGGCTACTTACTTTGAATTCAGTCAATTCCTGTGCATATCTTGCCACAGGTAGCCACCCATCTCTTGGCCAGACTCTTTTAGATTTTACACCTCTCAAAACTTTATATACAAGTATTAACTACCGCTCCTAGCTCATCCTATTATATTTTGCCCTATAAAAACTTTATAGGAGTGGATGCTATAGGCTGAACATTTGTGTTCTCCCAAAGTTCACATGTTGAAACCTAATCCTCAATGTGATGCTATCAGGAGATGGGACCTTTAGGAGGTGATTAGGCCATAAGAAAGGAGACCTCATAAGTGGAGTTAGTGCCCTTATGAAAGAGACCCCAGGGAGATCCCTCATTCCTTCTGCCATGTAAGGACACTGTGAGAAGACTGCTTTCTGAAAACCAGGAAGCCAGCCTTCACCAGACACATCTGCTGGCACCTTGATCTTCTACTTCTCAGCATTCAGAATTATAGGAAATAAGTAATTACTTATAAGCTACCTAGTCTACGGCAATTTGTTATAGCAGACTGAATGGGCTAAGACAATGGGTAAAATAATATAACATTTACTTAGTTTCACAGATGGAAAAATGAAGCATTTCATTTGCTTCAGACATATTTAAGTATTTCAGACAAATCAATAAGATGTTTTTAAGAACCTGATATATTGTAGACACCTTTTTATTTTATTATCCATGTTATTATTTTGATACAGGGTCTCCCTCATTGCCCAGGATGGAGTGCAGCTCTCTTCAACCTCCGCCTCCCAGGCTCAAACCATCCTCCTGACTCAGCCTCCCAAGTAGCTGTCACTACAGTTGCGAGCCATCATGCCCCACTAATTTTCAAATTTTTTTTGTAGAGATGGGGTTTCTCCATGTTGCCCAGGCTGATCTTGAATTCCTGAGCCCAAATGATCCGCCCGCCCCCCGCCCCAGCCTCCCAAAGTTCTGGGGTTATAGTTGCAAGCCACTGCACTCAGCATATTGTAGACACCTTTATCAAGTAATAGAAATGAAGTTCTCAGCAGAATACAGGGGTCAGCAAACTATGGCCTTTGGGCCAAATCCTGTCCACCACCTGTTTTTGTAAATAAAGTTCTATGAACACAGCCATGCTTGCTTATTTATGTATTTTCTAAAGGAGGTTTCATGCTAAAATGGCAGAAGTGAATAGTTGCAACAGAAATTCCATGGCCTACAAAGCATAAAATATTTACTCTCAGTCCCTTTACAGAAACTGTTTGCCAGCTCCTGATCTAATAAGTTAGTGCTATTCTCTCCATTTCCAAGCAGATGGTCGGATCATATTTCATGACTGCTTTGAAGTCAGAAGTGACCATGTGACCTACCTTGGTCTGTAAAGTATGAGCAGAACTGATGCGTGTCTTCTCTACATGGAAATGTTTAAAAGCCTTTATGTGAGTTACCATATCCTATTTTCTTATGTTTCTGCTGTGCAATTATTTGCTATGCTGTAGCTCCCATCAGCCTACAATGAACTGCAATGAACAGAGCCTCCTTGCCAATTGAAATTGATTGTGAAGCATGAGCAACAGCAATAAAAATTGTATGAGTTTTTTTTTGCCACAGCATAACATATCCTGTCCTGATATGAAGTAAACATGTAAGCAAATCTTAATAATTTTCAAAGAACACAATGAATTGAGGAAGCCTGATTAGGAGAGACTTTGCAGGGAAATATCTAAGATTGGGTAGGGGTGGAAAGAACAAATAAGGATTTACTAGGTACAAGGTAGACATGGGAATTCCATGGCATGTGAAGACTCATGCTATGTTTGGGGAAAATCAGACTATTTTTATAGATAGAAAATAAAGTGCAGGTGGAGAAGTCGAGGGTGATGAGGTCTAAAAGGTGATTAGTGCTTAGTTCATACATCCTTGTTTACCTAAGAGAGTTGGTATAGTCCTGCTGTCATGGTGTATTATTAATAGTTCTCCTTTTTATTTTCAAAGATATCCTAGTTTAGATGATAAATTATATGGTCACTCGACTTACATGTCATGATTATAAGACTGGCCTTTATTTTATAGGTGATGGGGAATCAGCAGGAAAGAGGCATGATTCACCTTAAATAATCCTTTCACCATCAAGTTTTTCAGAAATGGCTAGGTCACCTCAATTTTCTCTGTACCCTTCTTTAGAAATAAGAATCCCCATGCTTAGTAGGCCCAATATTACCTACCTAAAAGACAATGCTGCCTATGATCCTTTGTGGCTCAGGATAGCCATGTGACAACATTCTGGCCAAAGAGACATGACAGCATCACATGGAAATTCTGAAAGCTACCTTTAGGGGGCATGGGGAGTACAATTAATTAGATGACAAGTAGACACCCATAACATAGGTAATGCAAAGCTACATATTTCCTAGAGGGAACATAAGTCATTGATGACTTAATGGAGCCACAACAGCAACCTTAGATTGCCTCCCTCCAGTCCTCTCTTATGTGGGAGATAAATAAATTTCTATTTTGTTTAGGCAGTGTTATTTTGAATGTTCCTATCATATGATACTCAACAAATTGCTAGCCTATATAGTTCGGTCCTTCACCAAGAGACAGTTATTGTCAATACAATGGGAATGTATAAGAGGCAACCACTTTGGCCCAGATCCCAATGCCATCCCCTAATCTAACTTTACTAGGGAGTTTCATATTTTGGGAGTCACTGGGCTTTCACAAATAAAACTGATAACACTCATTGTTCTTATTTTTCTGCTTAGGGCTCTTCTCCATTGATTAGAGGCTAAAGAAGAGGACACTCTTCTGAGTCAGCAAGCTCTCCTTACAAATGTAGCTCTTGCATTTTGTTTTGTGCATTTTAAATAATGCAACTCAAAAAATCTATTATACTTTAAAGTGCTCTTGGTGGGCTATGGAGTGTGAATAATATTTAATGGGATGGGGGGTAGGTATGGAATACAGAGAAAGGGAAGGGAGGGAAGGAAAAGCACAGACACTTACTTCTGTAAGAACAACAGCATTCTAAACTAAATGGCTATCAAACATAAAGAGCTGTCCTATGGATAGTTTCTCATTCCCATCTATGCTACTGTAATTACTCTGTAAAAAGAGCAAAAGCAAAACGTTTCCTTCATGTAAGAATCTTGATCAGAAAATATATATATACATATATATATGATTTAATATATACATATTAAAGCAGCCAAAAGAATAACCTAATGCAGGCAAGCAGTAAATGTAAAGAAACAAAAGTGGATCTAGCCAGATTATATATTAAATAAAAGGCAATGAATAAGGACTGAGTGAAATTTTATATGTGCACATTACACCAAACCAGTCAAAGATTCTGACCCCTGGCACTACAGAAATGATGCAGCCATCTTCTTCGTTCTGATGCTTTCAATAAAATCATTCCCAAGAGGGCTAGGGAAAAACTCTCTCTCTCAATAAAATTTGAAACCGTTGGTATTATAAAAAATCATACTAATAATTGGATAGTGTTCGGAAGTCGCTTTCATAAAGCCTCCCTTTTCACTTCTCTCCTCAGGTTTTAATATTACCCAGAGAGTCCATCAGATCACCCAGGTTTTGCTGGAGATAGAACATTGTAACATTGATTGGTGCCCTTGTGAGGTACAGGTCAACAACATGCATATCAACAGAGATAGCTTGACGGATAATGCACTCTGAGTTTCTAAACACAGCTCACTCACAATGAATATGCTCAACAGCCTCTAATGCAAATAAAGGAATACAGCTGGTGCCTGGGCCCTTGGACAGGGGGAAAAATGAGTTCTGAGAATTAGGTGCCTTTAGCTAAAGTCACACAGAGCTCTACCATTGTGGGCTATGTGCGGAAGAATTGACAGAAAGGCTGCTGTGATGGTGAAGTAGGAGGTTCTGGAAGTTGAGGTCTTGTGAATGCCAATAAAACTACATGGGAATGTGAGATAGGCCCAGGATGTTAAGAACATCCAGGACAGAATGGAAGTTTGCAGTCACAACAATTAGTACCAGTTGACAAGGTCTTTTAGAAACATGTCAGCAGAAGAGGCCACATATGGTATCTCTTTTACACCTTTCTAAAGTTGGGAGAAGAGTGAGAGGAGGAGGAGAAATGCTGAGGGGCCTGATCATTAAGCTGCGGGTCTGGAGGAGCAGCGGCAGCGGGATCAGCTGCCTGCTGAGCTTGGTCAAAGGGCTGTGGCTGAACTGGTGCAGCCAGCTGGAGCAGGGGCGGCAGGAATAGAGGCAGCAGGTATAGCAGATTGTAAAATAACAGGAAACTGCCATGCCTCGGGATCCCCATATTCCCTTGCCTGAGAAATGGCCCTCATAAGAGGGGTGTCATTATCAGGAAGGTATGTAACCTGTTGCTTATGGGTAGTAACAGCAGTTGTGACCGGACCAGAAGCAGAAAGGAAATTGGAGTTTTGAATAGAGGAGAAATTGAGAGCCTTTAAGCCAGGCTGACGCGCGGTTGCCTGCTGTGCAGGTCTTTCAGAGGCCTGAACTCCAGGCTGCTGCATTGACTGCAGGGCCTGAGTTCCAGGCTGGTGCATTGACTGCAGGGCCTGAGTTCCAGGCTGGTGCACTGACTGCAAGTCAGACTTCTGAGGAGCCTGATGCATAGAAAGAAAGGCAGAATTGAGTGCAGAGATAGCGTTGAGGGCCTCATTATCGAGCCGAACAGGGATAGGGTTGAGAGCCTCATAACCGGGCTGAACAGGCGGATGGTGGAGAGCCCTATAGCAAGGCTGAGATAGTACAGGAGGTTTGGGCCGCAACGGCTGCTGATAGTGCATTTTAGAGGGATTTTTTTGGATCTGGGGGAAGGAGATCCTCCACAAAATCCTCATAAGGCGATATTGGGGGCGCAGTAGGCGCGGTAGGCTGTGGTGTATTTGGTGGTGCCAAAGGAATATCAGAGTAGGGGTCCATTTCTAAAATGACGGCCTCAAGTTGTGCGGCGTCCTCTGGAGAGAGAGTACTGAGGACTTCCTCAACCTCTTCAGAGGAGAGGAAAGGTAGAGTACCCTCCATTCCCTCCTCCTGTGGCTGCAAGGATTCTAAAATGGAGCGAACCGAGGACCAAACTGTCCAAATGGCAGGCGGGATAACATGTCCCCCTCTATGAGCAGTTTTAAACTGTCGGCCCCTCATCCCAGTCTTTAAGTTCTGAAGTTCCCTCAGTTGGAAACCAAGGGCAAATGAGATCAACGACCTCAAAGAGTTCAATCAGTTTGTCAGAGGAAACTGAAATTCCTCCTTCTTTAAGAAGGGTTTTTATGAAATTTAAATAGGCCAAGTACTTAGTACTGGCTTGTCCCATGGTGTCCCCTAGATACTCTGAGTGCCCAAACTTACCACCAAGCTTAATGACCGCAATCCTCAGGAATCTGTCGTCGAAATTCCTCCGCTGAGTCCCCGGCTCAAAGCGCAACTTCACACAGCGAGGGAGAAAGGCACATTGGAGTACCAGATGTAGGGTCTAGCCCTATGGGGCTTAGCGGGTGTTCTCCCCGTGTGCGGAGAGGAGAGATTGTAATAAATAAAGACACAAGATGAAGAGATAAAGAGAAAACAGCTGGGCCCTAGGGACCACTACCATCAAGATGCGGAGACTGGTAGTGGCCCCAAAAGGCTGGGCGCGCTGATATTTATTAAATACAAGACAAGGGGACAGGGTAAGGAGGGTGAATCTTGTAAGTGATTGACAAGGTGAAGCAAGTCACGTGATCACAAGACGGGGGGCCCTTCCCTTTTAGGTAGCCGAAGCAGAGAGAGAGAAGGCAGCATACCTCAGCATTTTCTTCTATGCACTTATAAGAAAGATCAAAGACTTTAAGACTTTACTATTCCTTCTACCGCTATCTACTATGTACTTCAAAGAGGAATCAGGAGTACGGGAGGAACATGAAAGTGGATGAGGAGCGTGACCATTGAAGCACAGCACCACAGGGAGGGGTTTATGCCTCCGGATGACTGCGGGCAGGCCTGGATAATATCCAGCCTTCCACAAGAAGCTGGTGGAACAGAGTGTTCCCTGACTCCTCCAAGGAAAGGAGACTCCCTTTCGCGGTCTGCTAAGTAATGGGTGCCTTCCCAGACCCTGGCATTACCGCTTGACCAAGGAGCCCTCAAGCGGCCCTTATGTGGGCATGACAGAAGGCTCACCTCTTGCCGTCTAGGTCACTTCTCCCAAGGTCCCTTCAGCACCTGACCCTATACCTGCCGGTTATTCCTAGGTTATATTAGTAATGCAACAAAGAGTAATATTAAAAGCTAATGATTAGGGGGCTGGGCCCGGTGGCTCACACCTGTAATCCCAGCACTTTTGGAGGCCGAGTGGGCGGATCAGGAGGCCAGGAATGGAGACCATCCTGGCAAACACGGTGAAACCCCATCTCTACTAAAAATATAAAAAAATTAGCCAGGCGTGGTGGCTGGGCGCCTGTAGTCCCAGCTACTGGGGAGGCTGAGGCAGGACAATGGCATGAACCCAGGAGGAGGAGGTTGCAGTGAGCCGAGATGGCACCACAGCACTCCACCCTGGGTGACAGAGCGAGATTCCATCTCAAAAAAAAAAAAAAAAGCTAATGATTAATAATGTTTATGCTAACGATTGATAATTGTCCATGATCATCTCTATATCTAATTTGTATTATAACTATTCTTATTCTAACTATTTTCTTTATTATACAGAAACAGTTTGTGCCTTCAGTCTCTTGCCTGGGCACCTGGGTAATCCTCCGCCCACAGGTTCTGGAGGTTGAGGTCTTGTGAATGCCAATAAAACTACATGAGAATGTGAGATAGGCCCAGGATGTTAAGAGCATCCAGGATGGAATGGAAGTTTGCAGTCACAACAATTAGTACCAGTTGACAAGGTCTTTCAGAAACATGTCAGCAGAAGAGTCCACATATGATATCTCCTTAACACCTTTCCAAAGTTGGGAGAAGAGTGGGAGGAGGAGGAGAAATGTTGACATTTTAAAGCAAACGAGCCTGTGGGGCTCAGTGGCTCAAGCCTGTAATCCCAGCACTTTGGGAAGCCAAGGCAGGTGGAATGTCTGAGCTCAGGAGCTTGAGACCAGCCTGGGAAACATGGTAAAACCACGTCTCTACCAAAAATTTAAAAAATGAGCCAGATGTGGTGGTGCATACCTGTAGTTCCAGCTACTTGGGAAGCTGAGGTGGGAGGATCGCTTGAGCCTGGGAGGTGGAGGTAGCAGTGAGCCAAAATAATGCCACTGCACCCCAACCTGGGTGACAGAGTGAGACCTCATCTCAAAATAAATAAATTAATTAATTAATTTTAAAAAGCAAATGAGGGAAAGGCAACTCTTCAGTTTCAGATAAGCCAAATTGACTGAAGTTGATCTTGCCAGCCTCACTGTTCTCTGCTGCCCCTTCAGAGGCACATGTGTCCTGCTTACAATTACACCATAAGCCACAACATGAGGCACTGCTCCCTCTTTACTTGATCAAATCACCTTGACATGCTCTCTGACTGCCTCACTAATGTCTTCCTTAAGTTTCCACTTCCTCCTCCATACCTCTTGGGTCAATGCTGCCATCCCCCATGCTGACCATGGAATTCATTCAAGAGGGTACTGAAAATGCACTATTCCGGTCCACCCAATTTCCAACTTGTATAGAATCAAATTCAAACAGACATCCACAGTAAGACAGATGTAATGGGCAAAATGCAATGTGTGTGTGAGGACAAAACCAGTCCTACAATGGTGGAGATGATGGAAATAGAAGCCTGCAGACCAAGCAGACAGGGAGAATCACAAGCTGATTTTATTTCTCATAAGTTGAGCAAGCTTCTGCCCTGGAAATATGGGCTTTCTTCCCATATGACACCCCAAAGAGTGGGGTCCATCTCAATATGTTCTAAATTTTTATATTTTGATAATCAATATGTTGTCACTGCCAGTGATACCACCTAGATAGGTTAAAAAATGAGACCTTTGTTCTAGAGAAGTCTGGAGGCAGAGAGGAGAAGAGGTGTTTGTGGGAGGAATTGAAACACCACATATTTGCATCTTTCTTCTTAACCATTCTCCTACACCAAAAGCTGTGGCCAGGTATTTTCCTACTTATCTTAGTGCTCACAAATAGTACTAGGTGGGACACATTTTAATTTTCAAAGCCAATAGTGAGCAATAGTGTCTTCATATCTAGGATACTATGTCATTTCACTCCTTCTATTCCTTGGGCAACAAGGCCCATTTATTCCCCTTCCTTTCAGGTATTCACGATGTTTGTCAAAGTGAAGAAGCTCTGACTTCTGAAATAATAATGCCTGGAGGTGATGTGTCCTCAAGGGAAGGCTTTAATCAATTTTTCCATTGGTACTAGAGAGCTGAATCTATAAACTGCTGAGTAAAAAGGAGTGATGAGCTGTCTTAACACAGTCTCCACCTGTTTAAAGGTGCACTTACTCTTGCTGAGGAAAACCAGAAGAAGCTTCAGCTCCTGAACAATAGCTACAGCCAAGGATACTATCATCATTTCTTCCTTTTCTTGGCCTTTATTCTTCCTTGTCAGATCTCATACAACTCAACCAAAAGGAAGAAGAATAAGAAGAAGGAAGAGGAAGAGGAGGAGGAGGAGAAGGAGACCATTTTTCTATTAACTTAATCAGATCAGAAAATGGACTTACCTACTTGGGTGAAGGAAGCCAAAGGGAAGCAGTGTGTTGACGATGCTGGGAAAAGCACTAAGCACACCATAGTTGCTGTTATCTGAAGAGAGAAATAGATGTTCCCAAGGAAGAGGGTGTGAGGAGGTGGGTAGAGACTGAATATGACAGCTTTGCCTCTGGTCTTCTCCATCAGAGAAAATTGGGGCATAGAGAGATTTGTCAAAGTTAGCCTTGGTGCCAAAGAAAGCAGCTATGGAAAGAGAGTCCTGACACAACTGTATCTCAAGAAACAGCTGTCCATGATGTGTCATGGGGGAGCTGCTTGGAGCCTAGAGAAAAAGTGACTCCTGCTCTCCCTCCTCAGACTCAGCAGAGGGCCATGTGGACCTGAGGCTCCTTCTCTGTAAGATAATGCATTTAGACAAGAGCAGTATTTCCAAGGTTGTGTTCTTCACAGCAGAGAGTCTTACCAAATGATTAGTTTAAAGGGGGCACAAAGATTACAGGCCTCGGTGGGAAGTCAGACACCTTCCTCCAATTGGTAAGAAAGCACAACAATTTAGGCAAGTAACAATGTCTTAGCATTGGCTTCTTTTTCTGAAAATGGAGTTGGAAAACAAAAAATGAACATTAATTTCTCTAAAGCCCCTTCATCTTTAGACCTTAATGACCCTAAAATGTCATTGGCTCCAAATAAACATGTTTTGTTTATGTCTGTGGGAGAGAATAAAATATTATCTTTCTAAGAGACATTGGGGTCCTCAGTGGTTATATTTGCTTTTGCAGTTCTCCTCAAACAAACAAACAAACAAACAAACAAAAAAACACCTGGGCCCTCACATTCAGGGAAGATATAGACAGGAATTGTGTCATTTCAGGGAATAGCAAAATATTTTCTGAAAATAAAATGGGAAATAGGGAGGTAAACTCACTACAAGAAATGTTTATTTAGTTCCTACTGTGTTCAAAGCTCTGAGTCAATTCTAATGATTTTAAACAATGCCCACATTTAGAGCATGCTTCGAGAAATTATGTAAGAGGACCCAATATTATGACTACAATTTTACCAGGGAGGAAACTGAAGCCCAAGTCCATAAGGAGGCTTTCCCCAGGTTTTTGCCCTGGTTAGTGACTGAGCCAAGACTAGATTCCAGGTTTCCCGGTTTGAATGCTCTGTGCTTTCTACTCAGTTGCTTCCTATTCAGACAACCATTAGATACCTTTCTGGGATAGGAGAGTTTACAGAAGGATGATTTACCTTCAAGCTAAATTCAGGCCAACCAGTCTTTCTTATTACTTTGGATGTTTTTTAAAAATTTGATTTGTTTTCCTAAATGGATCCATTTGAACAAAGGGTTTGAATTATTCAAAATGGTTTAACTCCTCCCCTGGGTTTTATTACTATTTAAGGATCAATGGCAACTTGGAAGGAGGAAGCTTGGAAATGGAAGGTAGATAATTCATAGGTCAGGTGAGAACTGGGTCAGGGACATGCTAGAACTCACTGACACCAGAATTGGACTCATTAGTCTGATAAACATCACAGCCACCCAAAGAAGTGGAGAGAGATCTCCTCACCCCAGGGTTACAGTTAGAAACCCAGAGGCAGAGACTCTCTAAAGACATGGTAAGTTGATAACAAAGCCAATAACCACAAATGAGGCTTCTGCCAGCACCCTCGCTGGTTAACACAGATACCAACATTATTTCAGAAATGTTTTGCTTTATCTTTAAAAATATTCTGGGACTTTAAAAAATGAAAACAAACTTCTTCCCTCTAGGCAGGTGTGCATGCAGCAAGCGTGTGCGTGCACGTGCACACACACACACACACACACACACACACAGAGTCATTTAACAAGGATGAGAGGGCATGATCCCAAAGGCTTTCCAACCTCCTGTCCAAGGAGAGTTCCCAGCTAGCCTAATCACTCTGGCAACAGCACACCTGAGCATTTCCCTCTTGGCACAAAGGAAGAAAAAGGAACTGGGAAGCTAGTTCTGTTGGACAAATCACATCTGAGGCTGTAAACAGCCCATAGATGTCTTCCCATTTAAGAGGCCTTAACAAGCAAGTTGGGGAAATCATCTATTCAAAGGTTTAAATGTGACTCGGCCACTGCTTTGAAGTAGCTAAGTTGACGGAGTCTGCTCTCCATCAAATTTTTTCAAATAATAATAATAAAATTTGAAAATTATGATAATTATGTGTTCTGTACCCTGGATAGGAGCAGGCTACAGTGAAGCATATTTTCCAATGTAATTAAGGCTTTCAACTGATCCCTCCCAACTGCAATTGTTATTTCAGAAGTGAATTAACAAATCATGTCCAGCCTGCTCAGAATAAAAATTTGTCTCGAGTATTCCTGTAGCAACCGGCAAGTTCTGATTCGGAACAGGAGGAGACAGACTAGAAGAAACTTCTATTAGATTGGCTTGTGCTGATTCCCAACCTGGACAAACTTTTGGGGAAAAGGTTTAAGCTGGGACATCTGGAACCATTTCTAAGCTTTATTGCAAACAATATGCAAATAGTCATTCCCCTATGTTCACTTATAGCTCCCTATGCTAAACTTGAAGCAATTAATGCTGACTCCTGGATGCCCAGGGGATTCAGATCTCCTGTGGTTTACACACAGCACTTTAGCTATCGTGATGAATTAATGTAAGGCCTAGTAATGCACCTTTGAGTATGTGAGGCTTTTTAAGGCTCTTGGAGGTCAAGCTTGTGGCTGCATAAAGTACATTTTCCCTTGGCACACCAGAGACTCTGACAACATGCAATGCTATATTTCTATTCCTCACAGGTTCCAGATCCAAATGTCCAAAGTCACTATTCGGCTCCTTTGGGCAGCTGATGTTTCAAGCCTGTGATAATTCAAGGTAAATATTTACCAAGGCAGCCCAAGCAGGAACACTTTGCATGCTTAGTGAAATAGCGATGTGTCAATTCAGGGGAGAGGTACCATTTTTCTTTTTGTCCAAACACAAGGCAGGTGCAAAACCCAGGGCAGGGCACCACTGATCAGAAATCTCCTCCTTGGATTGGGATGGGTGCCTGCTGTGAGAGTTCTGCTAATCTCCATTTAAAAGGAAAGGCGGGAGCAGGTGTATAAAACCCGAATGCCTCCCTGATCAATGTTATTTACACACATAGGTGATATAGTGAAGAGGTTCTGGGCTGACAGCCACACAGCTTAGTCCCTAGTGATAACTCCACACTAGCTGTTTGGTCTTCCACGACTTTTTTTAATCCTTTTTGGATATGAATTTCCCATTGCTAAATGAGAGCATTTTGCTAAGTGAGGACCAATTTGGTGGTCTCTTTCAGAAATAAACCATGGTGGCTCTACTTTCCTCAGCAGTGTATTTTTGCTAGTCTGTCATTTTCTGTTTGGTACAGAGAAAATGCATCAATGATAGAGATTCAGAGATGCCCGACACTCTGTCCTCATCAGCTCCTCAGCTCTTTCAGTATCTCTTACCACCCTCTCTGTACTTTCCTAACTGTATGACCATTGGAGATTTTTTTAACTTATCCAAATCTCTATTTCTTATCCATAAAATGGGAATAACAGGGCTTAATTTATTGAATGATCACAAGAATAAAATTTATAAAATGTGCATGAAATTGATGATAGGCATTTAGAAAGCGTTAGGTATTGACAGTGTATATTGATTTAGCATTCCCTAGGATCTGCCCTGTGCATTCTTGCCTCTGTGTTTTTGGTCATTGTGTTTGTGTTTTTACGCTGTTATAATAAAATACTAAAAACTGAGTTGCTTGAACAGCAAAAATGTATTGTTTCACAGTTCTGGAGTCTAGAAGTTCAAGACCAAGCCATACTCCCTCTGAAAGTGCTAGGCAAGAATCTGTTCCTGGCTTCTCTCTTAGCTTCTGGAAGGTCCTTGGCTTTTGGCAACATAACTCCAATATTCACCTGGCCTCCTTCCTGTGTGTCTGTGTGCAAATTTCTCCTTTTGATAAGGACACCAGTCACATCAGATTGGAGACCCAGCCCACACCAGTATAACCTTATCTGAACTAATCACTTCTGTAATAACCCTATTTTCAAATACTATTCACATTCTGAAATACTGGAGGTTAGAACTTCAACATATGGATTTGGGGTTGGGGGGGGCAAAAATCAACCCATAACAATTCCATCCTCTGTCTTTAATCAAAAACTTCCCCGATCCTCTTTAACATTTAGCTCCTACCGCTCCTTTAAGACACAGATTAACTTCTTAGACCTTGTCTGACCATGCTCATCAAAGCTCAAAAGTGTTCTGCCTTCTTTAGAATTCTAGTAGGACTTGTCTGTATTTCTTATATGAAACACTTAGTTTTAAGTTCCCATATGTGGTTAATTGTCGTTATTCCATATGTATTTTATGTCTTTAACTAAAGGAGAATACTATATATAGTTGTATCTTTTCGAGCTCTTTGAACACTTCACTGCACAGAGTAGAAATTTAATTATTTTCCATCAGGATAACAAGTAGTTGAAGAAACATATCCAGAACAAAGTCATTGAAAATTTTACACAAATTCAATGAAAATACATATCTGCCCTTCCTAATTATTCTACATACATGAAAATGGTCCTCAGCAACTTTCTGATCAAGATAATTGTCAAAACATCCCATCATATCTTGTTTGCAGGTGGGACAATGGCTTCAACCTGAAGGTCAGTACTGCTAAACTCTTGGTCGAAACCTCACCGTAGGAAAGAGGATGTCAAAGAGCATTAGTCTAACATTCTGGGACTCAGCATCAAGCCTCTCTTGTGTTAATTCTGACTCTCACTTTGTTCTGATAATTAGGCATTGTGTTCCTAAAAGCCAGTCACCTGGGAATCCCAACGGTGGTGATTCTTCGGTGACAGAGAAATCTTGGGAACTCACCTTGTACATGGTCTCTGTAGGCCTTGGCCTTGTTCTGGCTGGCTTGAGAGTTCATCCTCTGACTACTCCCAAGACAGGCTTTGTGTGATCCAAAGGCCTGCTTCTTACTTACTGCTAAAGCACTTGCCTGATACAAACCTGCTGCCTATGATCCTAGATTACAGGATACCAATCTTTCTGATAAATTCCTCTATACTATGTTCTATCCAACTCTTAAAACAACTGAAGTGCCCCCTACATGGACTGCTTATTTTGTCAGCCTCCAAATACTCCTGCTTAGTATAATCAGTATTTTTCTCTAAAAAATGGGGTCTGTTTCACTTCCAAGATCATGCATTTGTGCAATTTAACCATGTCACTCTCAAGCTTCTTCTAAGAAATGGTCTAAGGAAGTTCCAGAGCCCCTAACTGCAAAACAAAAATCTGATGAGACAAAGCCATCTTTTGATGAGGACCTACTCTTTTGAGCTGGTTTTACTCACAGCACGTCTGACGTCAAATGAGAGGATTTTTTTCCTCCTCATATCAAATACATATTGTATTTTCCACACTAATTTTTCAGTTCTCTGATTCTCCAACAACTGAGTGTCCTACAATTTAATTCAAGTCTGACACGAACTACCTGCAGTGAGCATGAGACTCCGCAGGTTTAAGGGCTCAGTCCTACAAGACTGCCCTCATTTCAGATACTAGTCTCCAGAATCAGGTCACCAGATAACACACACTTCTGCCTGACTTAGCTACAAATTTGAGGATTCTCCACTCCCTCCAGTCCCATTTTGATAATTTGCTAGAACAACTCACAAAACTCAGGAAAGCACTTTACCTACTATTACCTGTTTATTATAAAAGACACAACTCAGAAACAGCCAAATGGAAGAGATGCATAGGGCAAAGTATGGGGGGAGTGGCATGGAGCTTCTGACCCTTCTCAAGGCACCCCCACCCTCCCAGAACCTGGAGGTGTCTACCAACCCTTTTGAACCCCTTTATTCAGGGGTTTTATGGAGGTTTTATTATGTTGATGTGCTTGATTAAATCATTGGCCATGGATGATTAACTCTATCTCCAGCCCCTCTCCCCTCCCCAGAGGCCGGGGATTGGGGCTTAAAGTTCAGACCCTCTAATTACACCTTATCCTTTTGGAGACTATTCCCCATCCTGAAAATATCTACCTTCCATGCCCCCTCCTGCCCCCATGAGTAACATAATTAGCATACAAAAGATAGCTTCAAATATAGTTTTAGTCCTCAGGAAAGTCCAAGAATTTTAGGATTTGTGCACCAGAAACTGGGGACAGAGCTCTAATATTTATTTTTTACTTTTAAAACACCTTTGTTGGTCCCAAATTCATTATGTTAAATTTCAAATCAATAAAAAGTGGTTGAACCTTTCAAAGTAATACTTGTGGACTAAAACTATAAGCATGGATTGCAAAGCAAATTGCATTTGATCAGATGTAATGACTCCTCAGGTTGCACAGAGCTCTGATCTTGAGGAGGCCACAGAAGCTGACTGAGTCATGGGGAGTCGGTGAAGTAGAAGATGCTGCAACCTGCCAAGTGTCAAATTTTTTCAGATTGGTCCTAATGCAGGTATGGGAAATAAAGGAAGCTGGGAAGCTGCCATTTTCCTGCTTGTGGGTTTAATTTAAATTGGAAGGAAGTGCTAAGCAGACTCAGGGAAAAGTCTTGCTTCCTCATACATGTGTTCACAAGAGGCATTGGTTGGGCAGTACCATTTAGTGGAAACATCTTGACACAAAATCAGCCTCATGTTTAGCTCTAAAGTATTGATCCTTAGAGCACCAAAAGCTGTTGACAAAAAAGCCATTGAAGAGCCATGTGAGAGCTAGCTGGCTATCCTTAATAAAAGGGAACCGGTAAGAATTATAAAACAGGAAACATTTATCAATTTTCAGCCACCTAAAGTGGCCTAATGAAGGCTTTCACCTTAGGGACCTGCTTTAAATTAGTAGTTAGTTTCCTAAATCCTTTGTCATATATATAAGAGATCATTGCTGATATTGTGGATGCTTAGAAAAAAATACTATCTTTTTTATACTCAACAATTGGTACTGAAAATTTATGCAAGAGGTCCCTACTCCTCTTCATAGAGTAACACCATTAAAGAGTAACTATCTCACCAAGGGAGAGTTGATGGCAGAGGCTGAAAATCCTGTGAGGATATGGTCAGTTCAGGCAAATATACAAAAGGATACATAAAAAATCTACAACCCTATGGGGGATCGAAGTTCTATTCCAACACAAAATGAAAAAAATAAACCACATCTCCTATGTGCCAATGTAATAAAGCCTTGCTTGTCTAGTCAAAAGAAATAAAGGCTCAGCAAAACCTCATGGCAAGCCAAGATCTCAGGTAGAAGTTAGATCAGAACAGGTGAGAGACAGTGAATGGGCATTGGCTTTAATTTATAAGAAAACAAAGTTGGGAGAAGTAAGAAAAATTTAAAGAAGCTCTTCAATTATGTTTATAACTTTCTTAACTTTCTTTTCTCTTTGTTTTTAGAATAATAAATGATGCTGGGAAAACTGGCTAGCCATATGTAGAAAGCTGAAACTGGATCCCTTCCTTACACCTTATACAAAAATCAATTCAAGATGGATTAAAGACTTAAACGTTAGACCTAAAACCATAAAAACCCTAGAAGAAAACCTAGGCATTACCATTCAGGACATAGGCATGGGCAAGGACTTCATGTCTAAAACACCAAAAGCAATGGCAACAAAAGCCAAAATTGACAAATGGGATCTAATTAAACTAAAGAGCTTCTGCACAGCAAAAGAAACTACCATCAGAGTGAACAGGCAACCTACAGAATGGGAGAAAATTTTCGCAACCTACTCACCTGACAAAGGGCTAATATCCAGAATCTACAATGAACTCAAACAAATTTACAAGAAAAAAACAAACAACCCCATCAAAAAGTGGGTGAAGGACATGAACAGACACTTCTCAAAAGAAGACATTTATGCAGCCAAAAAACACATGAAAAAATGCTCACCATCACTGGCCATCAGAGAAATGCAAATCAAAACCACAATGAGATACCATCTCACACCAGTTAGAATGGCAATCATTAAAAAGTCAGGAAACAACAGGTGCTGGAGAGGATGTGGAGAAATAGGAACACTTTTACACTGTTGGTGGGACTGTAAACTAGTTCAACCATTGTGGAAGTCAGTGTGGCGATTCCTCAGGGATCCAGAACTAGAAATACCATTTGACCCAGCCATCCCATTACTGGGTATATACCCAAAGGATTATAAATCATGCTGCTATAAAGACACATGCACACGTATGTTTATTGCGGCACTATTCACAATAGCAAAGACTTGGAACCAACCCAAATGTCCATCAATGATAGACTGGATTAAGAAAATGTGACACATAAACACCATGGAATACTATGCAGCCATAAAAAATGATGAGTTCATGTCCTTTGTAGGGACATGGATGAAACTGGAAATCATCATTCTCAGTAAACTATCGCAAGGACAAAAAACCAAACACCGCATGTTCTCATTCATAGGTGGGAATTGAACAATGAGAACACATGGACACAGGAAGGGGAACATCACACTCTGGGGACTGTGGTGGGGTGGGGGGGAGGGGGGAGGGATAGCATTAGGAGATATATCTAATGCTAAATGGCAAGTTAATGGGTGCGGCACACCAGCACGGCACATGTATACATATGTAACTAACCTGCACATTGTGCACATGTACCCTAAAACTTAAAGTATAATAATAATAAAAAATAAAAATAAAAAAATAAAAACAAAAACAAAAACAACAAAAAAAGAAGTTGATTGAAAATTCCTGTGAGCCATTTAACAAAAAAAAAATACTTACATTAAGCTTGCGAAAAATACCAAACAGAACAGCACTAATAACTTCTTATCTTAATAAAGTAAAACAAGTTTAAAAATCCACTTACATCTTTGCCAGACTTCTGGCTTATTCATGTTTTTGCTTTTGCCCTATGTAAGTGTGACCTGAGCCCGATACAAGGTGTTTTCACGTGTGTTAACATAGATATAGGTTTGGTTTCATCATCAGAAAAACCAAAAGCAGTAGATAAAACTGTTGTTTTTCCTCAAAGGTAAAAGATAGAAGTTCATTTGTGTGCCATACATCATTCTGAGGCTGATGTGCTGTTGCTGCTCTGAGATTGCTACAGTTTGACTGTGTGACCTCCAAAATCTAGGTGTTGCCAATATAAAAATACTAGGAAGTGGGACCCTTAAGAGCTTATTAGTCCATGAGGGCTTTTCCCTGGTGAATGGGATTAAGTACCCTCATAAAGGGGTTTGATGGAGGGAGCTGGTACCAGCTTGCTTTTCTGCTCTTTTGCCAAATGAAGACACAGTGTTCCTCCACTCCAGAAGATGCAGCATTTAAGCGGCCATTTTGTAAGCAGAGAGATGGGTCTCTAACTGGCTGGCACCTTGAACTTTACAATCTCAGAATTGTCAAAAATACATTTCTGTTCCTTATAAATTACTCATTCTCTGGTATTCTGTTATAACAACACAGAACAAACTAAGACAGAGGTCATCGCAAACCAGAATGGTGCTCTGTTCATTAGAAATTCCAGGTTCCTTCTCAGTGGTTACTTTGCTATTTCTAGGTTGTTACTCTTTTTCACAATTGAAGATGACTTGCCACTATATTCCTCTCCAGGTAGCACAAAAACCAAAAGGGGAAGAAAGTGCACATCTTTCTATAAAGACACACTGTAGGAATTGCATACCTCACTTTTCCTTACACGCAATTCATCAACACTTAGTCACGTGGACCCACCTAGTTATGAAAGAGACTGGCAAATGTAGTTTTCATTTCAGGCAATCATACAGCCAGCAAAAAATCTGTAACCTCCTCTTTATCTTTGGTTTTCAGTAGTTGGACTGTGATGCATCTGTCCATGTTTTCCTTCATCTCTTACCCTGCTTGTGGTTTTGTAAGCTTCTTGATTCTGTAAATTTATGTCTTTTGACAAACCAAAGATTTGCAGCCATTATTTTTTCAAATAGTTTTTTTTAGCCCATCTCTTCTTTCTTGGGACTCCAATTACATGTATGTTTGATGTTTTGTTATTACATTACATTTCTCTGAGGCTATGCTTATTCTTTTCATCTTTTATCCTCTCCATTCTTCAGCTTCTGTTGACCTATAGACAAGCTCACCGACTCCCCTCTGTTGTCTCCATTCTTCTGTTAAGCCCATCCAGTTAAATTTTAATTTTATATATTATAGTTCCTTTAGTTCTAGAATTTCCATTTGATACTTTTATAAGTTTTTATATATCTGCTGAGCAATCCTTTTTTTATTAATTAATTACAAGCCTATTGTCCTCTACATCATTGTTCATAGTTACAATTATCCATTAATTCTGATATCCCAGCCATCAAAGAACCATTTCCATTGAGTGTGTTTTCTCTCAAGAATGAGTAACTTTTGGCTGGGCATAGTGGCTCACACCTGTAATCCTAACACTTTGGGAGGATGAGGCAGTGGATCACATGAGGTCAGGAGTTTGAGACCAGCCTGGCCAACACGGCAAAACCCCGTCTCTACTAAAGATTCAAAAATTAGCCGGGCGTAGTGGTGGGTGACTGTAATCCCAGCTACTAAGGAGGCTGAGGCACCAGAATCGCTTGAACCCGGGGGTGTGGAGGTTGCAGTGAGCCGAGATCGTGCCACTTCACTATAGCCTGGGCAAAACAGCGAAACTCCATCTCAAAAAAAAAAAAAAAAAGAAAGAAAGAATGAGTAACTTCTTAAGAGAAGAGACAACTAGTAACATTTCCGTGGTTGTTTATATGTCAAGTAATTCTAAAATGTATTCTAAACATTGTAAATTTTTTAATATTTTTATGAAGATATTGTACTCAGTTACATTTCTTCAGATATATACATATTTTCATTTTAGGAGGCAATTAAGTTGGTCAGACTCAAACTAAAATTCTCTCTCTCTTGAGCTGCAGGTCAAATCCCAGTTCACTGCTTTTATTTTTAGCTGGAATTTATTCTGTCCATGCATGGTTCAGAGTAAAGCCAGAGGTTTAAGCAGAGTGTATGCACAGAAGTTGGAGTTCCTTTTTTTTTTTCTGTCTCTCTCTTTTCTGTGATGAAGCACTACTTTCCGGTTACTACATCTGCCTCAAACTCTTTCCCTTAGTCCTTAACGTCAGAGAGCCTGGTTTTCCATCAGTTTTAAGTGCCTTGCTCAATGCCAACTGTGGCTTGCCCTCAGTTTAAAAGTCATAGCAAATGGAAAAATCAATCAGTCTTTCTTTTTTTTATCATGTCACTTCCCTCCCAAATCTCCCTGCTTTGTTCAGTCTCTAGTACCTTTGAGTCATTGTCTCTCTGTATTTTTTTTCCCCACAGTTTATAAGTGTTATCTCCAAGAGTGTCAGGCAGTAGGAGCTTGTTCAGCCATACCAGAAATGGAAAGAAATCTAAAGTTTTGACTGAAAGAAAAGGGAAGCATACTTATTGGGGAATAACTAGCAGTATCTACCACAAGGGCCTTCCCTACATTTGAACTTCTTCTACAGAACACTCTTACATTCATTTTATTCTCAGTGTTCCAAAGAAATTTATCACTGACTACTTCATGTTGAGATAAAAAGGTTTGTTTTGTGATCCATGTGTTCCCTAAATTTGTTATATAAAACCAATTATTTAAATAAAAATCTTAAGACTTTTGTCTTGCATTTTGCAGTGAGATAGCCTAGCAAATGCTCTTTCTTCCTATGCACACAATGGTTTCACTGTTTAGATAGAATACGCTAGCTGATAATCATAGTCCCAGAGCCCAAAGCCTTTCTATTTATGATCAGCCTTAAGTACAATCAGAGATTGAAGACCGTGATACATGATGTTGCTAACATTGAAATGACGTGGATAGGCTAAGAACAAATATTAGCCTTTTCACTAAATGACAGGTAGTTTATAGTAATATACGAAACAAATCAGCCAAAGAGTACCAATTACCTACTATGTATTGAGCAATGTGTTACATAGGTCATAAACACACACGGGACTTGGTTGCCACTCTGAAAGAGTCTATGTTCTTCTTTGAGAAGTTGACAATATGGTTCTGTTTTTAATATGCAATCATATACATAGTATGTTATTATTAATTTTAATTTTCCAGGACTAAAAGCACAATCTTCTTGGTGTGATACTTGTATATGCCCAAAAGAATTAGAGTTAGCTTGCTTGCTTGCTTGCTTTTTCTTTCTTTCTCTTTCTTTCTCCTTCCTTCCTTCCCTTTCTCTCTTGCTCTTTCTTTCTTTCTCCTTCCTTCCTCTTTCTTTTGTTTCTTTCTTGTTTGCTTGCTTTTTTTTCCTTTCTTTCTCCTTCCTTTCTTTCTCTCTTGCTCTTTCTTTCTCCTTCCTTCCTTTCTTTTGTTTCTCTTTCTTGTTTGCTTGCTTTTTTTTCCTTTCTTTCTCCTTCCTTTCTTTCTCTCTTGCTCTTTCTTTCTCCTTCCTTCCTTTCTTTTGTTTCTCTTTCTTGTTTGCTTGCTTTTTTTTCTGTTCTTTCTCCTTCCTTTCTTTCTCTCTTGCTCTTTATTTCTCTTTTCTTTCTTCTTTCTTCTTCCTTCCTTCCTCTCTTTCATTCTTTTTCTTCTTTCTTCTTTCTCTTTCTTTTTCTCCTTACTTCCTTTCTTCTCTTTCATTCTTTCTTTTCTGTTCTTTCGTTCTTTCTTTCTTTCCTTTCTTTTTCTTTCTTTTTTTCTCTCTCTCCTTTCTTTCCTTCTCCTTCCTGCCTTCCTCCTTCCCTCCCTCCCTCCCTTCCTTCCTTCCTTCATTTTTGTTGTTGCAGGAGTTGCAGGGGGTAGGCAGGTTTTCACAAGGTATATGAATATTGGAGATAAAAATGAAATAAATTTACCCAGCTGAAATAATTCTGTGTTAGTATAGACTAAAAAGCCCATCTACTTCTTGGTGAGATCATTGCAAAGTACAGAAAAATGAAGTGAAAATTATTTAGGTTTTTTTTCAGAAAAATAATAGAGCACTTACAAGAAAACAATTACTAAAATACAGATGTTAAGAGATGGAGAACAAATGGCACATCTCTGTTTTTCAAAAGCATTTAGTCTCCTGATAATCTAACTTTAAGAACTGGAGAACTATCTGCAAGCATCTAGACTGCATCAAAAAGCAGCGGAGCATATTGGTTCCCAGTGAATAGGTTCTAAACCTCTGAGGTCCCTTATCATAGGGTACTCAGAAATTTATAAACTTGACAAGAAATGTATGAATGACTAAATGTGTAAGCATGATCTGAGAAATTTAAATGTAAAGAAAAGTACCCATTTTCAAAAAGAAATGAGACTCAGTGCATTCGTTATAGTTAAGAAATGAGGTCTTCTAATTAATATAGTTGAAAACATAGATTTTTCAAAGAATTTTAAAGAATAGGATGTAGCAAAAAATTAGGTTTATTATTTATTCATGATTTGAAAAAACTTATTGCCCATGTAACATAAATGAACTCTCTCCTGAGAGGCTGGATAACAGAGTGGTCAAGAACCAGGATATCAGAGCCTCTTCAGCCAATTATAAGCTTTGTTACTTTGGGGCAAGTTACATATAAAATTAGTGCCTTCAGTTTTGTTTTCTTCCTCTGTAAGATGGGTTTAACAACTCATTCCATTGGGTTGCTAGGATAAATAAATTATTTAATAAATATAAAGAGGTAAGAACATCTCTGAGACATAATGAGGACATTTTAAATATTAACTATTACTATTAAAAGGAATGATACTGAAGATGGGCATCTGGATTACTTTTGTTTTAATATCTGGGAACTCAGTTTAAAAACATTCTTATACTAATGTCAGTTAATATATGTCATATTTTCTTTGTATACACCAGACTTCAGGCCATTTATCTGCAGGAAGCATCTATTCTACCTGTTTTGCCATTATTTATTGGCCCTATGTCTGTGGGCTACACCTTTTACATTTTATGAGGCATATCAGATTTGTCATCTATAGAAGCCTAATCCTAATGTGACTAACAGATAGAATTTGTATTTTATTCACTAGAGCCTAGCACAGTGCCCGAAATGTAGTGTTATCACAGGAGAAATAAAGAATAATATTTTACCTGCAGGACTATGGGACACTGAATGAGATGCTCTCTTGAGAGTCCTTTACTCTTCTAAGATTTATAACTACTTATTAAACATTTCTAATGGATTGAAATTAAATTTGACTATTTCATTTTAAATAATGACAATTTTCAAAATATGTGTTAGTCCTTACCTACCAACCATTAACTGACGATGAACAATAACTTATTTTCCAGCAGTAGAGATAAAACTCAAATGTCCACAATCTATTTCCTGGTTTTCTTAGTTACAAACGGCATGGAGGATTACAGACATCCAATGTCTGGACAAGAAACAGTGTTTCTTTCATTGCAGATCTAGTAGACCAAAGCAAGATTTTAATGTCACTTAATGTTGCATCTTTAGAGCATTGCGTGCTGGGCCCTGACACAGGAATACTAACCCTTTTAGCAATTCCCAATTGCCAGAAAAAAAATAGGTCCCCTGTCTCTAGGTTATACTTAAACTCCATACAGAAATATTTGTGCTGGGGTCAGTCTGAATAATATGATGACATGTGTATGTTATGTGTGCAAACACAAATGTGCACATTTCTGGTCAATGTGTAAACAAAAGGGCAAGAGGACTCACAGTCCTATCTAGACAAAATAGAAAACAGCTCATTCTCAAAAACTGAGTTTTCCAGATCCTCTAAATGATTTCAGGACCTGAGAAAAAATACGAAAGGCAGCAATACAGCCACTCTTCATACAACAAGATGCTCTAAATACTGAGGTTTCATATTTTGGCACTATAATGTGACATAATTGATCATCGTTAGGAGGCTTAGTGGGTCTTAGGAGAATCACTCTCTCCAATCACAGGATTTAGGAGATGGGCAAGAGAACGGTCAAGAGTGACTTGTTGGATGGGCGTGGTGGCTCACGCCTGTAATCCCAACGATTTGAGAAATCGAGGCTGGGCGGATCACGACGTCAGGAGTTCAAGACCAGCCTGGTCAACATATTGAAACCCCGTCTCTACTAAAAATACAAAAAATTAGCCAGGCGTGGTGGCAGGCGCCTGTAATACCAGCTACTCAGGAGGCTGAGGCAGGAGAATCGTTTGAACCCAAAAGGCAGAGGTTACAGTGAGCGGAGATTGCGCCACTCTACTCCAGCCTGGGCAACAGTGCAAGACTTCTTCTCAAAAAAAAAGAGTGACTTGTTTTCTTGCTCACATGACCAGTTATTCATTTGTTTAGGCTTACTCATTCATTTATTTATACACTCATTCATTATTTACTCTTATTCTACCCATTCATTTCCTCAAAATATTAAATGGATATAACATTACTCTTTTCTTTTATCCTTAAGAAATTTAAGAGTATCAGGACAATGAAACTTAATGATGCTTGTGATTTTCCTGACATTTCAGCGACTACTTCTAGCTAAAGCCTATGTGTTTCTTCTATAAAACCATTAAAAATGTAATGTAAGTGATTACTTATTAATTGGGAAAGATGTTACCACATAGTACAATAAAATATACATAACAGTAGATTTTTCTCTCATTAAATTATTTTCTTTTAGTTTGTTCATTTTTGACACAACATTTTGAAACATTGGGTACTCACCTTATCTTTTTATAAAAGCATGTTCATAAAACATGGAGCTATAATTTCATACTTCAACATGTATCTCTTAATGTAAATAAATAATTAACTAATCTTAAAAGCTCCCATAAAAATAAGACATATTACTGACAGGAAATTACAGGTTTTTGCTGTTGTTGTTTGTTTTTGTAAATAGGTCCCATCAGTAACACTAGAGGCCAGAAGATAGTGGATTCTTAACTTCAGTGAATTGAGGTAAATTAACTTTCAACCCTAGACTTTTATGCCTAGCTATACTTTCTTTCAAAAATAGGGACAAAGTAATCACAGTATTATCCATACAAAGATTAAAAGTGCTTTTTCCCACACAGGCCCTTATTAAAAGAATGACTAACACATGCTTCTGCTGTCTCTCTCTCTCTCTCTCTCTCTCTCTCTCTCTCTCTATATATATATATATATATATATATAATATTATACGGTAAGAAAATTTTAGGAGAAAAACTAAATTGTGAAGAGCACAGAAATTGACTGAAGTTATCAATAATTTAAGTTTATGTCAATCATTTTTTAAAATCCCCATTTTTAGGTTAATATAAGTAAAATTATGATTCTAGACTACAAAATCAAGAAGAGTAAGATGTTTATTGACTCGCTAGATTGTGCTAGAATTATTCTAGTACTTAGGACAAAAATAGAAAAAAATGAGTTAGTATATTTAAAAATTATAGTCATGTAAGTAGGTTACAAAATTAATGACACTCATTAAATAAACTGAAATGCAATACATAGATATCAAATCATCGTAGGAGAAAAGTATATAGTGAAGACTGGAGATAAATACGAAGAATTTCTTCAATCAAACAGAAGTAAAGAAAAAAAAGGATGGTAAACAGCTAGCACAAAGTATAATGGTAAGAATAATCCAAAATATGTCAGTGAGCAAAGTAAATGCAATAAATAAATTGCATTTAAGCACAAATACATGAAGCGAAAATGCACAGTAAGTACATAAACTCTTACATTAAAATACAGAGATTTTCAGATTGTATTAAATAGGTAAAGGTACATATTACTTGAAAGAGAGCTCCTAAACAAATCCATGTTATCATTTTAAAGAGGGAAAAGATACGCAATGTAAATACTAGCCAAAAAGAAGGCGGTAGCAATATTAGTATCCGACAACCTAAAGTTTAAGGAAAATAAAATCATAATAGGTTTAAGAAGAGTGAATAAGGAGCAAGCCACCAAAAAAGATTCAGCAGCCATGAAGTCTATTCACCTAAAGAGATTAGCTAAGAACTCTACAAAAGAAAAGAATACCAACAGTGCAGACATGCAATACAGTGTCTTTCGTCTAGCCAGGCTTATGATCTGGTTCTAGAAGGTCTCATAGTTAGGGAACCAATTTGCAGCCACCTTCAACCTGTAGAGAGTGTGAATCCTGGGGCTGGAAGGGGATAAAATGTATTCAGACTGGTACTTTTGGGTAAAATCTATATCTCCAATTAAGAGTAGGATGGAATAGGATGGTGAAGAGAAGGGAGAGAAAGGGAGACAGGAGAGGAAAGGAGAGAGAAAAAAAGGAGGAGGAGAATATACAAGCAATTGAAAACAAACTTTTCATAAAGTGTATTAAACCCATGTTAATGCATCACCCCATAAAGGTGAATTTATCTCTGTCGAAGAGAACAGCTGGAGGTTAGGTGATATCCTATTGAGGAAAGCATGAAATATTTAGTCAGAACATGGTTGGTTTTGGACACAATTATAACACGTTGGATTTGCCAGATATTCATTTCCCATAACTTGCCCTTTCCTTCATCTGAGCTCTTCTCAGTTAAAGGTGTCTTTAGAAGGCGGGCTCAGAGGCATTAGCTACTGTCATCTTTGGTGAAATACATGCAGAATATATGACTGGCCTTCTTCCACTGAAGTTCAAGGCCCCTGCTAAAACACTGCCCAGAACAATTTTAGAGTCCCTTCAAGTTTGCTTTATAATCTATCATGTCAAAAAAATAGACAATTCAGCTGAAAATGAAATCAAAATTGGCCTGGAATGTAGACACAAACTTGGAGGGTCAAGCTGATATTAAGCCAGCAGATGAGCTTGGTTTCTGAAGAGCAGAGGTGGGCACCACTGTGTTTTGGGGACTGAGTATCTATGCTCAAAATGCATGCTCTTTCTCCTAAATACCTTGAGACATCCAGACATGCAAATGTATGCCCTGATACACTCCAGACACCATTCAAGAGATACTGGAGTAACACCACTATGGAGAAACGGAGCCCACAAACATTTGGAGGGACCTGGCCAGGCCACTTCAGTGTGGAAAATAACTTTAGCACATGTTCCATTTATATATAAGAAAACAAAAGTTGACAGAGATTAAGCAACCTTTTAAAAACATTCAAGCTGGCTAGTAACAGCTAGGAATAAAACTCCCAAACCAAGGCTCTTTTCTAAATTGATTGAGGGAATCTCCTAACTCACAAGAATGGCCAATGAGGAAAATCAGTCCTAATATTTCAGCTTGCTAATTTGGCTGATCCTCAGACAGACATTCAGATAGTGGTACGACTAGACTCATTTGATGCACATACCCTTTCTCATCCTTGCCTCGTGCACCTGGTGACAAAGCAAGGAGTGAGTTTATGCTGGGGTTATGGATTCTATCTGAATATGGTTCAATGTGTCAATAGGCAGTTGGTTAATAGTTTCAGTTTTGAAATAAATGCTTTTGAATTTTATAACCAGCTTCAGTGACAGATTCAAAAGATATTTGACAGCATTTAATAGTTAAAGCATACTTCAAAAGTCCTTAATGTTCTACTAGAAATATAGCCCAGGCATAGGGACATTCTGATTCTGGGTGTGGGCTCCCTGTGAATAGGAAGATGTTTAGCAAGAAAGCCCTTAAATGCTTATAGGCTTTGCATTCACTATTGAAATGCAAGCCAGACATAGAGCCAAGTCAGCAAAATAATGATTACCGCAAATGGGTGCGCTAAGTTGGGTTGTTAGCAATTTATCCAAATTAAGAGTTGGGGCTTTATCATAATCACTAGAGAAGTATGCCATTCACAGCATCATTTATTTTCACATGTGATACTCATCCTAATTTCTAAGTTTACCACCATCGTCTTCCAAAATATAAACATATATTCAATTCATAGCTCACTTCAGAGGGTTCTGTCAAGTTAGAAGGTAATCTACAATAGAGTATCACATTTTCTTTCTTTCAAGAAGCCCTCTAAAATTTAAATTTTATTTAGATATTAAGAGTCTTTAGGCACTTTCTCTTACTCAATGTTTTATTATTATTCATGGTATCAGTTAGGGTCACTGACAGCATGCTCAAATAGAAGAATGTTTAAAAGCTTGAAATGAGGGACAATCCAAAGGGCAGGAATGTGGGAAACCCAAGGCTTTGTGTAGTACTTTGGGGCTAGCAATAGTTGGGAGCTATCACCACTCCTAAACCTGAATGGGCAAAGAAAGCGGGTGGTTATAGAACCAAGAGAGGCTGGCCACAGCTCAGAGAGAGAGCTGTCCAACAGGAGCTGTGGTCTTCAGCAGAAAAGCCCAGTCAACCCTAAGTGACCCACAGGGAGGGAGCTGAAGGAATAAAATATCCACCCCACTCTTGAATTGCTGTCAGATCTGCTGCAGATCCTCCCACTAGCCAAAGCCAACTACAAGCCAGAAAGGGAAGGATTCCATTGAAGTAGTTCACATATCAATCGGCTTCCTCTGCCCAGAGCAGGATAGAGAGGAGTAGAGAGTAGGTCTGGGCAGGACTGGGGGTGGAATGGAAAATATTCAGCACATAGATACTGCTTCCTTTCCTGCAAATCACTTTAAGTCCTTTGCATTTTTCTTGACATTCGAATTGGTATCTCTGGAAAACTGAAGAACCATTTCTCTTGCAAGTTGTTGAAAACCCAGAAAATTCAGTGCTGCCCTGTAGACTAGAGCCCTGAAAAATCAAGCTAAATGTGTTCACAGGTCATTTTTTGAGATATCCTTTCCCTGAAGCCCAAGTATCTTTGGACTTCCTTCTATTTCTCTTCAGTAACCTTTTGAAATTGGTGACTGGATGAGCCTGCTTATTAGTATTCATGAGCTCTGCTCAGAGAAAGGAAGAGGTGGGGATTATTTACTTGGATAACTGGGTTTTTTTGTTTGTTTGTTTTGCCAGGCAGAATGGGAGATAAGCCTTATTTTTTTATGGGAGAACTACAGTAGTCACTGGCATCTGGTTCACTGCTTAGAAAGTACTGGGAGGTTCCAGAAGACAGATGACTCTGAGATCATCAGCCCCTTGGGGCACACATGTCAAGTATTGGAATTTCTTTGAGGTCAGCATCAAGAAGTGAGAGGCATGTTGAAATCTATAAGAAGAGCCAGTTTACTAAAAGGCAAATTAGAGGACAGGCAGCCTGGAGAGTAATCAGAGAGTGAGGAGGGGCATCACAGCACTGGGGAGTCATGTGGAAGAGAAAAAGAATGTTGTTGATATTGGTGCTAAGAAGAAAGACCCTGAATAGTCAGCAGGTCTCTGAGCTAAGCTCTAGGGTGTGTAGTTTATTGCCATGGCTCCCTTTTGAGTAGTCTTTCTGTGTAGGCATATGCCTTACCTACTTCCTGACATTTAACTTCTTGAAGTTTGCTGGAATTACTTGCATCAATCTGAATGGCTATGTACATGCTAGAACACTTGGAACACTAAATAAAGACAGATTTTCTTCTGTACTGACGCTCTGTGAGCATGGCAGCACAAAAAAAGAGTCAACATGCAAGAAAAAGAAAGGCTTATTAACTAAATGAGTGAAAGGGAAATAATTTCCAAGTTGTCTTCTTGCCTTTGCAAAAATGGGGAAAAAAAGGAAAATCAATTTTTTAAGTCTTACGTGTTACGTTTTTATCTCAATAGGTGACTCTCGCAGGTAACACGAGTTGTCCAACCTCATCTTCTGTGTTCACTTTCTTCATATTTCCAATTCAGTGCAGAGGGAAGTTTAACTGGAATACGAATGCTCAAACTTGAGTGATAAATTATGAATATATGTATTTCTCCTTCCATGGCTACCAGGCCCAGTTAGCCTAGAAAATCATTGCCCTACATCCAGGAGATATGGGTTATAGTTTGGACTCTACTTCTAATGTATGTATGATTTTGTGCGAGTTAAATTTCCTCATCTGTAAAATAAGGGAATGAACAAGCTGGTTGATAGGCTCATACTCAGTAAAACCATACAACTAAAAGTGATTGTTATTGGACTTCCAGTCTGTCATGTAAGGACCTTAAAAGTTACCATCCATCCTAACAACAATTTAAAAAGCTGAACAAATTGATAAATCATGAACTGTTCTTAAATCCATCAGAGAAATGAGGTCCCAGGGAAAAGTGCTGCACCCAAATTTGCAGAACCTGAAATAGATGCAGAGAATCACCACTTCACAGAGCAGAAACCCATAAGCAGAAACCACCACAGGAAACAGTGCCAGAGCAGCAAAACATGAACAGTAATGGACAGATCACTGGAGGCTCATGGTAGACAACTCTGAGAGTTTAAAAGCTCCAAGGCAACAAATACTGCATGATTCTACTTATGTGAATTATCTAAAAGATCAAACTCATAGAAACAAAGAGTAAAATATTGATTGCCAGGGGTTGGCAGGGAGGAGGAAATAGGAAGTTGCTGTTCAACAGGTTTAAAGTTTCAATTATGCAAGATGAGTAAGTTCTAGGTCTCTATAGTACAATATCGTGCCTAGAGTTAAAAACAACACATCATGCACTTACAAATTTGTTACCAGCAGCAGAAGTTATCTGAGCTACCAGCGGTAAATCCGGTCGGGTCTGCAGCAACCTGAATTCTTGCCTCCTCAGAAGAAAGAATTCAGCTGAGGGGCATAAGGTAGAAGAAGAGACCCAGGCAAGTGTTAGAGCAGGAATGGAAGTTTATTCAAAAGCTTTAGAGCAGGTACAAGAGGAAGGAAAGTACATTTGGAAGATGACCAAGCGGACATCTTGGAGGACAAGTGCATGGTTTGACCTTTTGACTTCGGGTTTTATATGCTGGCATACTTCCAGCGTCCTGCCTCCTATTTCACTTGATTCTTTACATTTCCCTTGATTCTTCCCCTTAGGGTGGGCTGCCCGCATGCACGACCACTGGAGTTGTCACATGCTCACTTGAAGGATTCTTCCCTTTTCTGGTCGAATGCCCCAGGAAGGTCATATACCAGTTAAACTCTACCATTTTGCCTCTTAATGCACATGCTTGAACCCACTCGCCTAACTCCTGACATCCTATTGGGAAGCTGCCAATCACCAGTTATAGGTGTTTTTATCTACTAGGAAACTGCCTTTCCCTGGCACTGATTGTGACTAATTATTATTTTAGAGAGGCAGTGTGACAACTGCCTGACCATCACCTGATGGTCGCCTGACATTCCTGGTGGGGTAGGGGGAGCCCTCTCCTGTCCTGCTCACGCTTGACCTATTGTAACAAATTTATGAAGATGGTTGATCTGAAGTGTTCTTACACAATTTTTTTAAGTCATCTGAAAAAAAAAATAGATACTAAAAAAATACCTCAAGGGATTCCAGTCATAGGGGAGCCTCTACACTTTTATGAGTTTGACTCTAGGAGCTCTACCAGGTCCTTACAGTGGTTATTTGAGAAACATTTTCTAGTGTTTCTGGCAGTGGGAGGAGAAAAGGAACCGTTGTGAAATACTCCAAAGCATCCTATTCTTCTTAATAAGGCTTGCCCTCAGGAGAAACTGTTACCAGAGCCAGTGTGCTGGAGTTTCCATCAGAGCCTGAATGACCTGGGGGAAAGGAAATTCCCAAATCAACCTCCTGCTAGTTCTCCTGTCCCACTTTACCTGGAAAAAATACTAAGAAGAACTGGTACAGTTCACAGTCCAGGTGCACAGGCTTACCAAAAGGCTGAGACCCAACTAAAGCACACTTCCCCTCCCCTGCACCTTACCATTACATTACTAGATGCCTATTTGCCACAGTTCCTCTTATCTAGTAGGTCAGGTCCGCTTTTCAGCGAAACAATTACAAGGCATACTAAAAGGCAGTTCAAACAGTTTGAGGAGATCAAACAAGCATCATAACTAGAGTGAAATACGGCAGGAGTGTTGGAAGTATTAGACCAGGAATAAGAAACATGAATCCAGATTAAGCCAAAGAAACCCACAGTACACAGAATAAAATAAATAATGAAAATCAGAGCAGAAATCAATGAAATTGAAGACAGGAAATTAATAGAGAAAATCAACAAAGCCAAAAGCTGGTTGTGACGCCAATTTGAGTGGGCTAAGGGATGCCCAGAGAGCTGGTAAACATTATTTCTGAATGTGCCTCTAAGGGTGTTTGGGGAAGAGATTAGCATTTGAATCAGTAGACTGAGGAAAGAAGATCATCCTCATCAACATGAGTGGGCATCATCCAATCCCTTGAAGGCCTGAATAGAATAAAAGATGAAGGAAGGGCAAATTTGTTTTCTTTCTCTTCTGGAACTGTGGCATCCAACTTCTCCTACCCTTAGACATCATAACTCCAGGTTCTCAGCCCTTTGGACTTGGAGTCTCACACCGGTGACCCTCCAAATTCTCAGGTCTTTAGACGCAGACTGAATTACACCACCAGATTTCTTGGGTCTCCAGGGTGCCAATGGCATTTTGTGGACTTCTCAGCATCCATAATTATGTGGCCCAATTCCCATAACAAATCCCCTCATATATCTATTAACAAAAAAGAGATATAGAATAGCTACTATGACTCCCAGAAGGTATTATATGACTGAGGTTACAAACATAGCTAAAGGAAGGCTGCACAATTTAGGGGAATAGTAGATCATCCTTCACCCTAGACAAAGAAGTGTTCCTGAGGGAAATGTTGGCGGATCTCATCCAAGCAGAATGGAAGAGAAAAGATGATATAACAAGCTGATGTGAATATGATGATGCTACAGTGACACCATAATAGTAACTGATGTTTAGTGAGTTTGACTATAAGCCAAACTCTATACTAAGGGCCTAAATTGTATAACTCATTAAACCCTCAAGTCAATGGCAATCATAGGCATGAGTATTCCCACTCTATTGATTAGGGAACTGAGGCTGAAAAATTTTAAGGGCCATGTTCAATGTTGTACAGCTAGTAAATGGCAGAGCCAGAATACGGCTCAGTGGTTATAACACAGCTCTGAGGTCAGTGTGTATGGATTCAGATCTCTGCTCTCCTATAATGTTAGCTACATGATTTTCGGCAAGCAATTCAACCACTTCCAAAATCTCAGTCTATCTACATGTACAATGAAGATGCTGATAATATTTGCTTTTTTTTAGGTTGCTATGAAATAATGCATATATCAGGGGGTATATAATAATATATATTATATATTATATAATATATAATATATATTATATAATATATAATATATTATATTATATATTATATATATTATACATATATATTATATTATATATATAATATATTATACATATATATTACATTATATATATAATATATTATATTAGATATATATATTATATTATATTATATTATATATAATATATATATGATATATTATATAATATATATATTATATATATCATATTATATAATATATTATATATATCATATTATATAATATATTATATAATATGATATATATAATATATTATATATATATTAAATATATATATAATATATAGGGGTAATAATAAACACAGTATAATTGTAAATGCAGAACAGCAAGCACAGCCTATTGTGGAGTTGCATGCACCACGGTGCTAGATCCTGTGGCCATTAAATGTTCATATTATCTTTTAATTCCCCTTTATCAAGTTCCGTGATTGCCAGTCAATATCTAATAATGCAGCTTCTTTTCTGATAGGAAAGGCTGTGCTGGTGGGACTTTGGTCTGCCCAAGCACCTGATAGCTTATCTGCTTTAAAGTTATATTAATACATTAGCATTCTATTTTTATTCATCACTTGCACCATTGAGTCAGACACTGTCAAGATCCACTTTTGGTGCCTGAAAAGTCAGACAAGGGCAAAAGGTTAATTCACTAAAGAAAATCTGCTTTGGGGGATCATGTAAGGATGATAGCAAGGTCTTCCCCTGGAAAGCCTCCCCTCTCTTACTGTGGAACCCCTTTAAACATCTACTAAAGGCTATTGCAATAGTATAGGTGGACAAAACACCCATATTCAAGGTACCACAGGAATACTGAAAATTTTGTTCTGAATCACAAAATCAATTCCACTCTTTATGACAGTACCCAGAGGTCTCTCTCAGAAGCCGGATGGTCAGAGTCAGTGCTGAGGTCTGCATCCTTCCCCCTTCATCATTCATTGAGTCCATTTAGCAAACAGCTTGGGCAGCCCAGTGTTCAATAATTGGGACATGCGGGGATTTCAGCTCCCTGGCCTAATATCATATATTAAAATAGCCATCTTCCCTTTTTAAATTTCCTGGCTTGCTGCATCTCCTCCTTCTTCAGTCCTTTATTTATGCATTTTGTAAAAATTGTACAATGCTACCAATGAGGCCTGAAACCTATGAAGCAAAGAAATCTGAATTTTCTTACTGATGCATGTAAAATCTTAGATGTTTGGATTCTATGCCACGCTGTGCTCTGTGGGGATCAGGAAACAAAGGGGTGAAGGACAGTGGCTGCCTGGTGTCTTAATAAGATGCAGATCAGCTGAAGAGCATCAGACCATCAAATCCAGGGTCTGCTGCAACCGCACACCTTTCGTCAGGCTTGGAATGGGCCGAGATGGATTCGGGGCTTTATTGAAAGATCATACAGGATGACTGCAAAATCCCATTACTTGTTGATTAAGTATTGATTGCCTCAGTATTAACAAGCCAGCTAATATGAAGTGACCTCTGAGGCCAGTGGTTTTGTGGGAGGGGGGAGACAATTTACTAAAACAGGCAGGCAGATGAATAAGAGGGCTAGATTTGCTCTTGGCTTTTAGCTTCGGTTAAAATGTCACACTCGATAGTGCAGATCAATGCCCACTTTATTTCCTCACAGCTGTCTTATTACCATCATGAGGCTGCCTCCTTTGATGCTTTCTAATGACCCTCTGAACCGCCTGTTCAGCTCACCCTCTGCTTTCAACTAAAAGGAAAGCCCTTCCTGCCCTCTTGCTACTGATGGAGAGGCCATGGATATGAGGCTGGGCCAAGAGGACCAGTCAAGCATTGTCTAGGGTCAGTGGTGCTACACTCACTGTGCTTTTCTCCTTGTCCTTTGCTTTCCTTTGAGTGTCTCCAACATCAAAGCTCGGCTCCTCTTTCCACAATTCCAAATAATGTCAAGGCAGTGAAACAAGAAGCTTGGCTCAAAACTCTCACCCAAGGCCACCATGTGGGTCAGCGGGTATATGGCTTTATTCCCTAGGAAGGGAACTCTCACCTACTATTTGAAATCTACCCTTCCCATCCAGAAATTGATGTCTTTGATAATAGCAAAAATAAGTAAGTAAACAAATAACAAACAAAATCTGTCCTTTCTTCAATCAAGCAGACTCTGATTTTAGAAGCCTATGGCATGAACCAGTCAAAAGAACATCAAGCAATCCTCCACTATGGAAATCACAGTTTACATTTCATTCTATCGACAGGAGCTTTTGCGAACACAATCTACTCTTTTAGAGAGGTGTTTGGCTTCTATGCTGCAAAATACTCTGCTGACTACTTAGTGTAGCTTTCTCTGAGTATAAATATTTTATGTGCCGGGCTGTGTAGGGATTCGTCAGTGCCCTTCTATTGGCCAGAGGTCTGACTCCAACTTTCTGCGTCAGAAAGAAAAGGGAGAAGTGAGTCTAGTGAAAAACTTTCTCTCTGGCAAACATACTCAATTGGTCTCTGAAATGAAAAGGTTTTCAACACTGGATGGCTAGAGGGAGGAATGGAAGTACAGAGAAGAAACTTCAAACTCTCTAAGGCTGCTATTCAAAGCCAATGTCGACCTGAAGATGAAAACCAAAATAATTTCTCTGGGGCTTTAAGAAACTGCCTCAGTAAGTTTTGTTGCTGCAAAATTCATAATTTAAAGGCTCTTTCTACCTATTCCAGCCTAATTTGTGTGAATAAAGATCATTTCTCTCTTTACTAACTATATCAGTCTTTTTTCTCAGGGTCTTATCAGAGGTCCCTATAAGGTCCTGTAATGTAGAGCCACTCAGAGTGTACCATAAACAACACCATTTCCCTTTCTCCCTTTCCCGTCTCTATGATTTTCTGCTCTTACAGGAAAATCTACTAAATGCCTCCTCCACTTTTCCTGTTTCTCCACTGTTTCTTTCAATCAACTAGTCATTAAGTATTTGTTAATGAAAACCATATATATATATAGTGCAGCAGTCAGTTGGGTATTCAAAGGTTCAAATAGTAGGTAAGAGTTCCCTTCCTAGGGAATAAAGCCATATACCCGCTGACCCACATGGTGGCCTTGGGTGAGAGTTCTGAGCCAAGCTTCTTGTTGATGTAATACATGGATACTGATTCTCTTTACTCTCCAAAAGTTTAGAGAGCATAATAAAAAACCTATCTTGCATTCTTTCCTCAATTCCATGACCACCAGTGAATTTGCTTGAAAGCCATCTAAAAGAAAGAGCTCATTAATGAAAGAAATTGTTGGAATAAGACATAAATCTTAGAAAAGAACCCTTCATACTTTCTAAACTCAGGAACCCCCACATGAAATGAAATTCTATTTAATCTTTCTATATAACTACCCTTGCCTTGGAGAATTCTTTAGCTTACAGAAGATCCTAACATAAGGTACAGTGCAGAGAGAAACAATAACTGGTCTCACGAAAAGTTTACATAAAGCTATGAAAAATAGCTACATAGCAGGATGTGAATGGCAGTGAGGCCTGAACAGAAAACATCCTTAAGTTTTTGAGAATCGTGTCATATTCTGCTTTCACTCCCAGCCATAACTTCCCACAACTCATTCATGGTATGGCAGGGAGAATGTGGAATTGGATGAGCTTTATAATCTTACTCTGGATGGCAGTTTCTATGGATTAGCTATTTCTTTAAAATCTGAGGAACCAGGACACCAGAAGGCTGCATAAGACATCACAGTAAGATTTGAGTTTCACCCCTCTCTGTGGTCTCCTACTGTGATGGACTGAACTACAAGGATTCCTTTGTCATTATCAATTTTAGATCTTGGTGAACCCAGGTTGTGTGGCTTCTTCAGCCACTTTCTGCTAGGCTTTTATATGTGTAGGTTTCTAAGAAATTGATTGGCAAGTTTTAAGTGGGAAAAGTCTCAGTGGGACGACAACTTAGTTATTACCAAGTGATGGTATAAAACATGGGAAAGCAACCTTGGACTTCCATTCAAAATCGGCTGGCAAATGAGTTTTATCTCCTACCAACATCAGTGGATCAGAGGTGGCTGCCTGGATCATGATGTTGGAAAAACTTCAGTGATGGCCTCAGAGCATAGAGCAAAGAACAAAGAATACTGTGGTTGCATTCACTATCTATTGTTGCATAACAAATTACCTCAAAGCTTCATAGGTTAGAACAACAAACACTTATTTCATAGTTTCTATAGGTTAAGAATTTGGAAGCAGCCTACCTGAGTGGTTCTAGCTCAAGGAATCTAATGAGGTTGCTTGCAAGATATCTGTAAAGGTGGTAATCATTTGAAGGCTTGACTGGGGATGGAGCATCTACATGTGTGGTGGCTCACCAACATGGGTGTTAGTAGCTAGTCCTTTGCCAGCTGTTGTCCAGAAGCCTCATTTTTTCATCATGTGGGTCTTTTTCCACAAAATGACAACTGACTTTCCCAGGACTTGTTATCAAATATACAGAAGTAGGGGTAAACATAGGCATAGATAGATGATAGTTAGATAGATAGATAGATAGATAGATAGATAGATAGATAGACAGAGAGAGAGAGAGAAATAACAGATAGATAGCTTTTATAACCTGGTCTCAGAAATTATTTACCATCACTTTAGACATACTCTGTTGATCACACAAACCAACCATAATGTGGGCCAACAAGGAAGCTGGCTGCCATAGTGCTCAAGAAGCTATGTTTGCAATGAATGAGGAAATGGAGAGTAATGGTATATGTTGTTTGTTGACTCTGTCCTAGAGGTTAGCATGTAAGCATGAAAACATGTAGCATATAGCATGTAAACCTCATGTAAGCTTTTTTATAATTTCATGCAACAGATTAAATCTTTACCTTATTCTATTGACCATAAAATGGCAAAATAATTTCTCTAGAAAAAATGTTTACATATGTATAATCTATCTTCTTTCTCTTAGTTTAGGTGTACTTTACTTACCTCTTTAACAAATGTTAATCAAAAGGTGACTACTTAGCACAGGCACTCAACTAGGTTCTGTAAAAACATATATAAAAAAGATGTATGGCACCTGAGCCAAGGAGCTCTGTCTAATGGAAACCAAGAATCTTAGCAATATGGAAATATAATACAGCAATGTATCTACAGCCAAAGATGATTAAGACTCTAAAATTTTTGAGTAAAGTGATTTCATTGAGTGACTGCCAGACTCAACTCATACCTTGATTTCCGATCTCTTCTCCTTTAACTGAACTTTAAACTAGTTTACTAGATTTATTTTGAAACAAATGTGGCCTTACAAGCTTTCACAACTCTCAGTCACCAACAGGGCAAAAGCCAAAAAAGCACTTTTTTTTTCTGGCATCCTTGGAAGAGTTTTAGGTAGTCTAAGGCATCAAAAGGGACAAAATAGTATGCATACAGAGTGTTCATTTTCTGGCTGGACACGGTGGCTCACGCCTGTAATCTCAGCACTTTGGAAGGCCAAGGAGGGTGGATGACCTGAGGTCAGGAGTTCCAGACCAGCCTTGCCAACATGGTGAAACCCTGTCTCTACTAAAAACACACACAAAAAAAATTAGCCGAGTGTGGTGGCGGGCGTCTGTAACCCCAGCTACTCAGGAGGCTGAGGCAGGAGAATAGCTTAAACCCAGGAGGTGGAGTCTGCAGTGAGCTGAGATCATGCCATTGCACTCCAGCCTGGGCAACAAGAGGGAAACTCCATCTCAAACAAACAAACAAACACAGAGTGTTCATTTTCTGTGGAAATGTCTACGGATGTTTTCAGATTTTAAAGGGCTCTGTGACTTTTAAAAAGTTTAAACACTACTACATACCTATTACAATGGTCAAAGTTCAGAACACTGACAACATCAAATACTGGTAAGGATGTGGAACAACAGGATCACTTATTCACCACTGGTGGGAATGTAAAATGGCACAACCACTTTGGAAGACAGTTCGGTTTCCATACTCCTTCATATTTAGCCAAAGGAGTTGCAAACTTATGTCCACATGGAAATCTGCACATGGAGATTTGTAGCAGCTTTATTCCTAACTGCTAAAACTTAGAAGCAAGAAAGACATCCTTCCATAGGTGAATAAACTGTAGTATATTCAGAGAATGAAATGTTTTTTAGCACTAAAAAGAAACAGACTCTCAAACCATGAAAAGACATGGAGGAAACTTAAACACATATTACCAAATGAGAGCCAATCCAAAAAGCCTATGAACTGTATAATTTCAACTATCTGGCATTCTGAAAAAGGGGAAATTATGGAGAAAGTAATTTTCCAGGGATGCTAGGAGTTAGAGGGCAGAGACAGGGATGAATAGGTGGAGCACAAAAGATTCTTACATCACTACACTGTATACTATAATTACAGACATATGTTTTTCTAACTACAACAACAAGAGTGAACCCTAATATAAACTATGGACTCTGGGTGCTAATGATGTGCCAACATAGGCTTATCAATTGCAACAACTATACCACTCTAGCAGGAGTTATTGATAAGGGGGGAGGCCATGCATCTGTGGACAGGGCACATATGGGAACTGTCAGTACCTTCTGCTCAATTTTTCTGTGAACCTAAAACTGTTGTAAAAAAAAAAGTAAAGTCTACTTAAAAAAATGGTTAGGCACCAGTGCTAAGAAGTATGTTCCCTTTCTAAGTGTTGCTTTATGAAGATCTTCACTATTTACCCAGTCTTCCTCAGCAATCTCATTTTCTAAACTCTCACAGCTCCCTCCAATCAGCTACTATATGCTTCTGAAACTCTGAAACCCTGAATCCTTGCCCTGACTCCTGGCCCAATTCTGTATTTCCCATCTCTTTGTGCCTCTACATATACTGTTCTCATTTATTGGGTATATTTCTCCCTCTTGCCTTCCCAAATATCTTCTCTTCTATAAATAGTCCCTGGTTTTTCCTGACAGAATTCGTTGTACAGTCCATATATATATATATATATATATACACACACACACATACACACACACATATATATATGCTAATATATAAAATACAAATTTATTATATAAGTATAAATATATATTTATATTATTAATTATATATTATAAATGTATAAGTATAAAGATACATGTAAGTGCCAGCCTATATTTAAGTGCTATTTTCTAGGCACTGTGCAAGGCACTGATCCCAGACTCAAGGATTAACGCAGGGAAGCAGATATGTAAACAAATGACTATAATTTAACGTGATAATACAGATCATGTAGAACACACAGAAAGATGAGTGTTCATACAAAAGAGGAAGTACTTCTTTCTGCAAAGGTGGAGCATGAATAAAGATATTCCAATACAAGATGTAACACAGGATTTGAGTAGTGCTTTAGAAAAGTAAGGTGGAATGTCATTTGGGGCAGAGGGAACAACAGGGGCAAGCAGGGAGATGTGAAATAGTATCGTGTCCTGGTGGAGTGTTTTGCACCTGCTCTCCTAGCCTTTACCACACTGCTTTTATCGTCGTAATGTGACTGCCTCTACCCACTTGACTGTGAACTTTATGAAATCATATCCTAGTTCTTATTATCTTGTCACCTCCACCGAGCTGGTACTCAGCATAGCCTTTTGAATGAATGATTTCATAAAATTATCTTTGCTTTCACAATACATAATTTAAAAGATAAATAAGAACTTTTACATTTTTATGCTCCTCAGTATCAATCAGGTCTGCAGCATAAGAAGACACACCTAAAGTGAGATTCAAAGAGGCCAGATACTTTTCCATTAGCAGGTGTATCATATGCGATAATGGTCTGTATTTGGGCATATATATGGCAATAGCAATGGTGGTGATGGGATGGGTGGGTTTGGGGTGGTTGGTGGTATGTTTCAATTGGAAATTAGCCTTTAGCTTTTAAAATTTGAAATCTACACTCTGTCCCTGAAATTCAGCACTCAGGAACTCGGTAGAGTGGGTGGATATAATAAGTGAATGCCTTTTGAGAGACTCAGTAGGCTTGGTGAAGGAACTGAGAGATGGTTATAGTGGGAAAGAGGGTGGGCAGTGTTCTATGTTAACAATCTCATTTAAATGGCTAGAATTTTGTGGCAGTGAGACTCAGGATATGCTTATGCTAGAATACGGACGATGGGGTGGATGATGGGGCATATGGGGAAAGGAAAGTTAGGGTGTTACGCAGTTACAAGGTCAAAGAACGTCGCCTTTTAAAATACAGAACAGCTTTAAAGAATTAAACTAAAAACAGACAATGTGAGAGGAACAAGTTTTTGCATGGCGTTCCCAAGAAGAAATAATACACTACACTTGTTATGCATTACAGTCTGTGCTCAAAATGCTATTTCAGCATTCTAGGTATTAAAAAAAGAACCTTATGTGGTCTTGTGGTGAACGACTGTGAAGGATTATTTAAAGTAAACTGTAGGGAAATATAAAACAAACCCAGCTAATTTATCACAACAGTGAAGATGCATAAATAAGATGTTTATGAATAACAAGGACAGCTTACCTATTATTTCAAAAAAAGTTCATTTTTTTGTAGAAAATGTGCCACATTTTATTTAAAGGAGAATGACCCCTATTTTTCCCCCACAGCTTTATAGCCTTTGGTACAGCTTTACTTATTACTATGAATATAACATGATGACTGTTTTGGAAATGTTTTAATTATATGATGACCCTCTGGGAATTTTGGCTTGAGGGATAGATAATTGTCACACTTAAGACTAATATTGGCTTAATCCTGGGAGCTCAAGAACTCAGCAAATGTGATTGCCAATCAATTGCCAATCGAAGAAGAAATACAGAGCAAGAAAGAAGTTATGCCCATGTACCCTGTGAGTCTTTTATTAACAACATCCAGAATTTTATGGAAGAAAAATCTCTGTATCTCTCTGGCCAAGTGTTTCAACAAGTAAACATCCTACACAGTTTTTCACAGGAGGCTACAGTGATAGGCTTGAATTATTATCTGTGCTTTGCTTTGTAGTTCTGAAATTGGCATGTCAATTAATGCAGCACTGACTGTCAGTTGTCTACCCAATGGTTCCCCTTTTCTTCTGTTCACACAATTACTATATATACACACATACACACACACATATGAGACAGTCTCGCTCAGTCGCCCAGGCTGGAGTGCAGTGGCACAGCCTCGGCTCACTGCAGCCTCTGCCTCCCAGGTTCAAGCGATTCTCTGGCCTCAGCCTCCCAAGTAGCTGAGACTACAGGCACACATCACCATACCCAGCTAATTTTTGTATTTTTAGTAGAGACAGGGTTTTGCCATGTTGGCCAGGCTGGTCTTGAACTCCTGGACTCAAGTGATCCCCCCATCTTGGCCTCCCAAAGTGCCAGGATTACAGGTGTGAGCCACCGCGCCCAGCCAGTTACTGTATTTCTTAGTCTCCCTTGCAGTAAAGTTGTGGGCATCATCACAGATTGATTTCTGGCCAGTGTCTTGGTGCATTAAAACTCTCCAAGTGATCCTTATCCTGTCTCTTTCTGATGTAGAGGGTGATTGGAGAGGTCTCCAAGAACCTAGAGAGTGATGGAGCCACCATGTGGAGGGAACTTGGTTCCTAAATGACTATAAAGGGCTTCTTTTCATTCTAACATGAGCAAGAAGCCATCTTTACTGTGTAAAGTCACTCTGATACCAATTTGTTTGTTAATGGTTAGCACACTCTCTCTAATTGTTCGCAATGCAAACTGCTTTCTACAACTTTTATAGATATTTGTGTTTCTTAACCAAAGTTTTAGCTGTCCCATATTTCTGCACCTAATCAACAAGAGAAAATAATGTTTATATTATTGAGAAGTGTAAGACAGGATAGGTAGCCAAATCATATGAATACCCCTTTGAAAGACTATATTAAATATAATCAAATCATAGATTCCATCACCACATTTGGAAAGGGATAGTTGAAGAAAACAACATATAAGTACTTCATATTGATTAAAATAAAAAATAAAAAATATTCTTGTTTCATCAAACATAGTTGGATCAAACATGAAAATATGCCATGAATGGTCTATGTCAGTGATTACTGATCTATTTCTCATTGTCAAGTGAGATAACCAACACTTAAAAAAGAAATGCCTGGTGTTAATTATTTGTTTCACTATAGTAACCATTTCTCTATCTTTCTCTCTCTCTCTTCCCTCTTTCTCTTTCACTCCATATATATGTGTGTGTGTATAATAGATATGCATACATATTTACATATTTATATATGTAAATAATAACATGTTATATGCCTTAAATATACACATTACAACTTATTTAAAATAAAATAAAATAAAATAAAATTACCTGGAAACTCTTGTCATCATAAAAACAACTTAATGCTGCTGGAAGCAGGTTAACTTACCCTAGCTGCATAATCTTGAAAACCCCAGGTAAGTTTTGGGTACTTGGAGACATTGATCTTTTGCAAATCTGAGAAGCCAGCACAGCCCGTGTCTCCTTTAAGTGAATCCTACGATGATACAAAATAAGATGTGGCAGTCAAAAAGATGTTTGTTGAATACTCTCATTATTCACCTTCCACTAGAAAGGTCACATAAATGAAAGCCCTATACCTTTTTCCCCAACACATCTATTACAAACTCATCAGGTTAGGAGAGGGAGCCTTCACCAGTTAAAGAGGCTGCACACAAAAATTCATAAGAAGGACAGATTTCAATACATCATCTTCAAGAAGTGATACTCTCAGAGATTTGCACCACTGCTCTTTTACAAAATCTTTGATTTGCTTTTGATATGCATTTTCACCCTTTCAAACACAACCAGATCTCAGTACATATCACATTTTTAATGAGAAGAAACAAGCAGGTGTTGATATGTTATATATAACTGCAACAATTCCAACTACATTTGTCTAATGGGTATGAATATCACTTTTCAACAATACACTAAAGAAAATGAAAAATGGAATAGAAAACCATCCCTGTATCTGGCAACTAGAAAAGACATATTTAAGTGGCAGCTTTCATTTATTTTGGAAGACTGCTGGAAATTAGCAACATTTAGAGATTACTGAGAAGACACTAGTGTGAATCAAGCTTATATTATTAAAAATTTGCATATTATTTAATAACCCATGTTTACCTTCCTGAAAGCATTCATGACTATGAAATATGTATTCCTTGCTATATATCACTGATGGGCATTTATGTTCCTGAAGTCCAGGCACATCAAAGTGATGAGTCTTTTTTTTTTCTTTTCTTTTCTTTGGTCGGGGGGGACAGAGTTTCGCTCCTGTTGCCCAGGCTGGAGCACAACGGCGTGATCTTGGCTCACCGCAACCTCTGCCTCCCGGGTTCAAGTGATTCTCCCACCTCAGCCTCCCGAGTACCTGGGATTACAGGCATGTACCACCACACCCGGCTAATTTTTTATTTTTAGTAGAGACGGGGTTTCTCCATGTTGGTCAGGCTGGTCTCAAACTCCCCACCTCAGGTGATCCACCTGCCTTGGCCTCCCAAAGTGCTGGGATTACAGGTGTAAGCCACCGCGCCTAGCCTTCTGTTTTTTTGTTTGGTTTTGTTTTTTTTTTTTAGATGGAGTCTCACTCTGTCACCCAGGCTGGAGTGCAGTGGCATGATCTCGGCTCACTGCAGCCTCTGCCTCCAGGGTTCCAGTGATTCTCCTGCCTCAGCCTCCTGAGTAGCTAGAATTACAGGCGTCCACCACCACTCCCGGCTAATTTTTGTATATTTAGTAGAGAAGGAGTTTTAACATGTTGTCCAGGCTGGTCTCTAATTCCTGACGACGGGTGATCCACCCGCCTCGGCCTCCCAAAGTGCTAGGATTACAGGCATGAGCCACCGCACCTGGCTGATGAGTCTTTATTATAAATGCTTCAACTGCTATTCTTACCGAAACATCTATAATCAGACTATATGCACTTTTACATGCAGAAAGGTTGACATAGCTATATGATTGTAATCTTTGCTCACCATTATCCAAAACTCCAACTTGTACCAAGCCATTGGCTACAACAAATAAAATCACCACTATCATAATAAACAACAAACCACTTATTAAGTTTGTATTCTCCATAAATAAAATATTTAGGAGTAGAGGTAGAAGAGTTGTTCAATGTGATCCATGCATTCAAGGAAATTACAGATTATTGAAAAAGAAAAATTTGCATGAGAATAATAATTAGCAAGATAAGTAACCTTTGCAATTTCATCAGTGTCATAGGTTTCCTAACCAAGGGTTATTGACAGCAAGTCTGGACAGATCAGGAAAAGTCAGACCTCACATAAAGATGGGGCACACACTAGGGCAAGTGCACATATCAGAGAGTGACAGAGGAAGGTAAGCCACTGGCTTCATGGAAGCCTAAGTGCTTGGAAATGGAGTCTCACCATGAAGAATACCATTGTGGGTGGGACTCTTCCTCCTATAAGATCTTTGGGAACCAGTGGGATTAAGTCACATAATGAATGGTCAACAAGGCAAGGACTTAGTTTCTTTATTTTAAAAACAAGATCAAAGTGAGACCAACAGCATGGACACTGATCTAAAATAAGGGACAAGTGTCCCTGAGTGCAAAGAATGGAGGGATGCAAGGATCAAAAGCCAGGCATATTTTTACATCAATAAATCATTAGTGAGAAACACCATTTTAAATCAAAGATTTTGCCTTCAGTGAAAAGACAGAATTTGAGTAGGACTTTGATAGAAGGACAAAACTTAGTTAAGTACAGTATAGAAATCTGAGAACTGCATGAGCAAGGATTAGAAGGCAGCACTTTATATGGTATATCTATGAAGTGTTAACAAAAATAAAATGAAGTAGGTTGCTTGCAAAGTCTGTAGTAAGAAAGTTGAGAGGCTGGTACTGTGGAGAGTTTTGATGTTAGAATAAGGTGTGTAACTTAATCAGGTAACGGAAAACCATTAAAATTTTGTGAGCAATATGCAGACACAGGTAAAAAGTCTAGAGAATGGAAAATACAGTTGGTCTACAATAGATTAATATGGGGGTAGACTCGGTGATATCAAATAAAATAGAAGTTAATGGGCTGATATGAGAAAGTCTTAAAGGATTTAGCAAAGCACATGCTATGTCCTATGCCAGGACACTGCATGTCCTGGCATGTTTTCTGCCATGCAGAGGACATGCAGAGTCCTGGCAGGAAAGAGATAATTTAAAGGCATCCCCAGGGATTTGATTCTAGGAAATTGGGAGACTGAAGCAATGACTGAAGTGACAAGGGAACAGAAGGAAGCAGAAGATGGGACAGGGTACAGGTGGTAAGATTAGTGTTAGGGATGTGGTATTTTATACAATAGTCTACTTGTCATGAGGCTGCATATTTCCCCTCTGTCTTCAATGGCTAAGGGGGGGCATTTCTTTCATCCCCTGAACTCAAAAAGAGGAATCAGCATTAATAAAGTTTTTAAATAATGAGGAAGAGAAAACAGCAAATTAGTTATTCCCTGATATATGGAATAAATAGCTAGACTTTTAATACTTTTAATACCAAAATGAACTGCCTATAAAGAGAATAAAATATGATCTTCCCCTGAGGTCTCATATGTATACATATATTTCCAGTAGCATAAAATTTCTCCATTTTTTTCAAAGTCCAGACTCATAAAACATTTAGGTATGGACCAGTAATCTAATTACCATTTAACCCAAAGAAGTAATCTTATCACTTTTCAATCCAGTGCTCTTCACTGCCTTCTACCCCCACTTCAACCCCACCTCAATTCTTTATCTTCAAATTGGTTAGCTCTGACGCAATAGTTGACTTGTATCACCAGTCTCATTTCAATTAGTTCTCATAAGAATGTAAATAAAATAAAACTATCTTACAAATGGTTACCAAAATGTATCAAAGTTCTAAAAATATTGTTACCCAAGAATACCCAACAATTAAAGTTCATTGGGTCTAAAACAATCACTATTATACATGTATAGAAATTTGAAACATATTAATATTTTCCAGAGTGGGTAGAAAGTTTTGAATTTGCTGCAAGAGAAGACAAAGAAATAGGAGAGAGAGCCACCTTTTGTGAAACCTACTAACTACCAAGCACAGTACTGGCAGCTACACACCTTATATCATTTAATCCTGTACCATTTTCTTTTAGTTATGTATTGGTAAGAACACGATGAACTATCTTTATTAAATTATCCACTCCATACAACATAACATACCCATTTTAAATGTATAGTTTGATGGGATTTAATAAATTTACATATCCATGTGAACAAAACTATAATCAAAGTTCTAAGTTCCCCCAAATTTCCAGAAACAACTGTGCTCATCTTCAATTTTCCCGCAACCCTGGCCCTAGGCAAACACAGATTTGCTTTCTCACAGTATATACTAGTTTTGCCTGGGCTAGAATTTCTTATAAAAGAAACATACAATGTGTGTACTCTTTGGTGTCAGATTACCTTACTCATCATCCATGTTTTCTAAGATTCATTCATGTTACTACATAGTTCAGGTTGCATAGTTCATTCTTTGTTATTACCAAGTAGTATTCCATCGTATGAATATACAACAATTTGGTTATCACTCGCCAGTTTTTTGACATTTGGCTTGGTTCCAGTTTTCAACTGTGATGAATAAAGCTGCAGTGAACATTTATGTACAAATCCTTGTGTGGATACATTTTCTCTTGGGTAAACACTGAAGTGTGGAATTGCTGGGTCATATGGTAAATGTATATTTCACTTTCTAAGGAACTGCCAAACTGTTTCCCAAAGTGATGATAAAATTTTACACTCCCATCAGATGTTCAAGAATTCCAGTTGCTCCACATCGCTGACAACATTTGGTCTTGTCATTTTTTTTATTTTTATTTTTAGCTTTTGTAGTGGACATGTAATGTTGCCTCATTGTGGTTTTAATTGCATTTCTCTTATGATTATGATTATGAAGATTATGACGAGCATCTTTTCATGTATTTATTGGCCATTCAAATATCTTCTTTCATGACGTTTCTGGTCAAGTCTTTTGAAAGTTTTTGACTGTCTAAAAAAATTAATTGGATAGTTAGTATTCTTACAGTAGATTTATAATAGTTTTTATACATTCTGAATAAAAATGTTTGCAAGGACCAGGCGCCGTGGCTCATGTCTGTAATCCTAGCACTTTGGGAAGCCAAGGTGGGCAGATCACCTGAGGTCAGGAGTTCGAGACCAGCCTGGCCAACATTGTGAAAACCTGTCTCTACTAAAAATACAAAAATTAGCCAGGTGTGGTGGCACACGCTTGTAATCCCAGCTATTCGGGAGGCTGAGGCAAGATAATCACCTGAAATCAGGAGGCAGAGGTTGCAGTGAGCCGAGATAGTACCAACTGCACTCCATATCCAGCCTGGGCGACAGAGTGAGACTACATTTCAGAAAAAAAAAAAAAAAAAAAAAAAAAGTTCGCAAATGTTTTCTCTCACTTTGTGATTTACCACTTCATTTTCTTAAGAGATCTTCCAAAGAACAGAAGTTATAAGTTAGTTTTTATTTTGATAAAATCTAATATTTTTAATGAATAAGTGTGCCCTGTCTAAGAAGACTTTGCTTAACCCAAGATCATAAAGATATTATCCCGTGGTTCTTTCTAGAAATTTTATAGTTGTAGCTTTAGGTTGAGGACTATAATCTATTTTGAATTAAATTTTGTAGATGATGTAAAGCAAAGCTAATGCTTCATACATTTTTACATTTGGATGTCCAGTTGTTTCAGCACAATTTGTTGAAAAGATCATCCTTCCCCACTGAATTAATTTGGCAACTTTGTAAAAAATCAATTGACCACAAATGTGTGATTTACTTATAGACTGTTCTGTTTATCTGATCTACATTTCTATCTTTAGGCCAGTATCTACTTCCTTAATTACTATGACTTTATAGTAAGCATTACGTTGTGAAATAAGATACTCTAAGTGCTGTGGACTGAACTGTGTCCTTCCAAAATTTATATGTTGAAGCTCTAACCCTCAATGTGAGTATATCTGGAGTAAGGAAGTAACTAAGGTTAAGTGATCATAAGGGCAGTACACTGATTCACTAGGATTAGTGTCCTTGTAAGAGGAGACACCGCAGAGCTTGCTCTCTCTCTCTCTGTCTGTCTCTATCTCTCCCCCTATGTAAGGACCCAGTGGAAAGGCAGCTCTCTACAAGCCAGAAAGAGGGCCCTCCCCAGGAACTAAATCAGCTGGCAACTTGATCATGTACTTCCCAGTCTTCAGAACTGTGAGAAATAGATTCCTGTTTTTTAAGCCTCACTGTTTGTGGTATTTTGTTTTCGTAGCTTAAGCTAAGATAGTAAATTCTGCAATATTATGCTTCTAGTTTATAATCACTTTGATTACCCTATGTCATTTGCATTACTGGGTAAATTTTATTAAAAAGTTACCAATTACTACCAAAAGGAAAGGTGGCATTATTTTGATTATGATTATGTTAAGTCTATAAATCAGTTCAAGGATATTTGACATATAATTTCTATTGGCCATTCTGATGCATGAACATGATATATCTCTCTCCATTTCTTTAGGTTTCCTTTCATTTGTATCTGCAGTGGTTTGTAGTTTTCGGAATATAAATCTTACATATATAAAAATTTATCCTTAATTATTTCATGTTTTTGTCATTGTACTTTGCTTATATATAGAAATACAATAAATTTTGTATATTACTTTGTATTCTTAACTGTGTTAAATTCACTTCAAGTAGTTTTTGGTAAATCTCTTAGAATTTTCTAGGTACACAATCAAGTATTCTGTGAATAAAGACCATTCTCCCTATTCCTTTCAAATTGTATGTCTTTTGTGCTTTCTTGTGTGTGTGTATGTGTGTCTGTGTGTGCGTTTTGCTTTGTTTTGTCTTGCACTGATTAAGATTCTCAATGTAATGCTGAGTATAAGTGATGAGAAAGGAAATTCTTGCTTAGTCTCGATCTCAAGGACATAGTTTTTTCACCATTAAATAAAACGTTATCTTTAGATTTCCTCATACATGCTTTTTATCAGGTTGAAGAAATCCCTTCTATTCCCAGTCTGATGACTGTATCACGAGTGGATATTGAATTTTGCTAATGATTTTGCAACTATTATGATTAACACACACACACGATTTACCTCATTTATTGTGGTAATATGGTGATTTTGTATTGACTGGTGAATATTCAACTAACCTTGCACTTTTGGGATAAAGTTCACTTGGTCATCTTGTATCATACAGTTCATATAATTGCAGAATTTGATTTGATAGCATTTTATTTAGGAGTTTTTAATCTATATTCTTGAGGAATAGGGATCTATAGTTTGTTTTGGGTTTGTTTGTTTGTTTGTTTGTTTGATAACATCTTTGTCTTGGGAGTCATGATAATGATGGTTTCAGAGCTGTGTTACAATATGCCCTGTCCTCTAATATTTGAAAGGTTTCATATAAAATTGGTGTGATTTTTCTTAAATGATTGACAGAATTCACCAGTGAAGCTATCTGGCTCTGGAATTCTTATTTTAGAAACATTTTTTAAATTACCAATTGCATTTTTTAAACACATATATTGCTATTTATATTTTCTATTTATTCTAGTGTCAGTTTTTGGTAATTTCTGTCTTTCAAGCAACTTCTCTATTTCATCTAAGTTGTCAAATTTACTGACTTAACGTTTCTTATAATGTTGTCTTTATATGCATTTATGAATTTAAGGTCTATGGTGACATCACTTTTCTTTTGTGATGTTGAAATTTTTCCCTTCAATCTGGCTGTTACAAATATGAATGTCTTCCAGCCCTGTGTGGATTCTAGGAATTGCTCAGCTTGCTGTGATCCAGTGTTTTTTCTTTGCCGAGGCTTTTATAGCTTCCCTCTTTGCAATATCCAATCAGAAACTCATGAAGAACCCTAATAGATTCCTAGAGCTCTTTCTCTGTGTTTCTGCCCCCTCTGCACTGCTCTGCATCACAAGTTCTAGCCACCTCATCCTCTTACATTCCAAAATCTGTCTTCTCACCTCAGTGATAAGATTCTTCTCTGTGATTTCTCCTCCCTTTCTCATGGTTTGTTACATGCTTCCTGGCAGAAAGCCATGTGAGTTCAGGTCTTACCTCACTTACTTCCTTTTCGTCAGGGATCTCAGTTGTGTGTTATCTGTTGTCCAACATATAAGAACAATTATTTCATATAGTTTGTCCAGTTTACCAGTTGTTTGTTTGAAGTAAGGGTACGTCTAGCACCAATTAATATGCAATGGCCAGAAAAAAATAGAGATATTACAGATGAAGGGAACTGAGACAGAGATTTAATTTTTGCACTGTACATAGCTAATAGGTATGACTAAACCTCCAGCTAGGCTTTTTCTGCTTTACCATGCTGCCTTTCAACTTATTAAACAGATATTTACTGGACACCTAGACAGCATTTTGCTAGACTTGAGAGAAATGTGTTTTATAATCCATTCCCTCAAGCTCACTATCTAATTGGAGTAAAAAGATATTCACATGAAACCAGATAAGGCAGTGAATTATATAATCTGTGCTAGCAAAGTTTAGGGAGGATGGGAGACAATACGTTTTGCAGTTGTTTTAACAGAGGAAAATGATGGCATGTAATTGAAGTATGAATAAAACACAGAGAGAAAATATAAGAACACCTAGAAAATATAATCCAATTCAATGGCTGACATTCATGAGAACTTTCGGATTCTAATATATCTTGATAGCAACCATAGTGGTTTCATTGGAGCCCTGCAAAGCCAGGGTTTTTTATCTTCTCTGTGACCCCCTAAAGAAGTCTGTTAAGAATTATTTAATAACTCCATCACAAAACAGAGATCCTGAAAGGTCATTTATTTTAATCAGATTAAAGAAATTAGTAGTAAAAAACTAAGCAAATGTTAGCTTCAGTGAAAAACTTGAAATGTTTTAAATCAACAGACCCCACAGAAAACAACTAAGGGCTCCTAAAAATGTCAATGTAATTCAATCAATTATATAAGATTTGGTTTACTTAAAGATGCATTTCATAATTTGAGATAGTGGTATATGAAGAACCCAGTCCTATAAAAATAGCCACTTTGGGAGGCTGAGGTGGGCAGATCACGAGGTCAGGAGATCAAGACCATCCTGGCCAACATGGTGAAACCCCATCTCCACTAAAAATACAAAAAAGTTAGCTAGGTGTGGTGGTGGGCGCCTGTAGTCCCAGCTACTCAGGAGGCTGAGGCAGGAGAATGGCATGAACCCGGGAGGCGGAGCTTGCAGCGAGCCGAGATTGAGCCACTGTACTCCAGCCTGGGCAACAGGGCAAGACTCTCTCAAAACAAACAAACAAACAAACAAAAAGCCAAGTCCCAAAACAGAGCAAAATATAAAAGTGGGGAGAGAAGAGTTGCCCTCTAAAATTCATTACTATTAAATGTCAAGATGTGTACCTCATTGCCAGAAACAAGTGATATGCCCAATACATAACACAATGCCATGAGTATGGGATTCTTAAATAAATATTAGCATCCCATATATTGGTAGTTGCTGTGAAACACACAGAAAGAGACTTTCAGGCTATTTTCCAGGTCTATTCTGTGTTTCCTGAATTTGTAGCTTTTCTAGGTGTTACATGTAGACTGTCTTTCTTTTCTTTTCCAGCTCTCTATTTGTTTCTAGGTGTTGGTAGTTATTTTATTCTAACTAAAAATGAAAGTGGTTTGTTGACCTTCAGGCACACAGACACAAAGAATTGTTATTTGTTCTTGGAACATATCAGTCTATTATTATTTATATAAGACAAGAAAGAATTCCAAACTGGATGCAAAGAGAGGAAAAGTAAAACGTACATAAAATTGGCTCCTGGAAGACCCATCTCACATGCAGAGACACACATAGGCTCAAAATAAAGGGATGGAGGAAGATCTACCAAGCAAATGGAAAACAAAAAAAAGCACGGGTTGCAATCCTAGTCTCTCATAAAACACACTTTAAACCAACAAAGATCAAAAGAGACAAAGACATAATGGTAAAGGGATCAATTCAACAAGAGGAGCTAACTGTCCTAAATATATATGCACTCAATACAGGAGCACCCAGATTCATAAAGCAAGTCCTTAGAGACCTTCAAAGAGACTAAGACTCACACACAATAATAACGGGAGAGTTTAACACCCCACTGTCAACATAAGACAGATCAACGAGACAGAAAGTTAACAAGGATATCCAGGAATTGAACTCAGCTCTGCACCAAGTGGACCTAATAGACATCTACAGAACTCTCCACCCCAAATCAACAGAATATACATTCTTCTCAGCACCGCATAGCACTTATTCCAAAATTGACCACATAGTTGGAAGTAAAGCACTCCTCAGCAAATGTAAAAGAACAGAAATTATTACAAACTGTCTCTTAGACCACAGTGCAATCAAACTAGAACTCAGGATTAAGGAACTCAGGATTAAGAAACTCACTCAAAACCGCTCAACTACATGGAAACTGAACAACCTGCTCCTGAATGACTACTGGGTACGTAACAAAATGAAGGTGGAAATAAAGACATTCTTTGAAACCAATGAGAACAAAGACACAACATACCAGAATCTCTGGGACACATTCAAAGCAGTGTGTAGAGGGAAATTTATAGCCCTAAATGCCCACAAGAGAAAGCAGGAAAGATCTAAAATTGACACCCTAACATCACAATTAAAAGAACTAGAAAAGCAAGAGCAAACACATTCAAAAGCTAGCAGAAGACGTAACTAAGATCAGAGCAGAACTGAAGGAGACAGAGACACAAAAAAATCCTTCAAAAAATCAATGAATCCAGGAGCTGGTTTTTTGAAAAGATCAACAAAACTGATAGACCACTAGCAAGACTAATAAAGAAGAAAAGAGAGAAGAATCAAATAGATGCAATAAAAAATGATAAAGGGGATATCACCACCAATCCCGCAGAAATACAAACTACCATCGGAGAATACTATAAACACCTCTACACAAATAAACTAGAAAATCTAGAAGAAATGGATAAATTCCTGGACACATACACCCTTCCAAGACTAAACCAGGAAGAAGGTGAATCCCTGAAGAGACCAATGGCAGGTTCTGAAATTGAGGCAATAATTAATAGCCTACCAACCAAAAACAGTCCAGGACCAGACAGATTCACAGCTGAATTCTACCAGAGGTACAAAGAGGAGCTGGTACCATTCCTTCTGAAACTATTCCAATCAATAGAAAAAGAGGGAATCCTCCCTAATTCGTTTTATGAGGCCAACATCATCCTGATACCAAAGCCTGGCAGAGACACACACACAAAAGAGAATTTTAGACCAATATCGCTGATGAACATCGATGCAAAAATCCTCAATAAAATACTGGCAAACTGAATCCAGCAGCACATCAAAAAGCTTATCCACCAAGATCAAGTTGGCTTCAACCCTGCGATGCAAGGCTGGTTCAACATACGCAAACCAACAAACTTAATCCATCATATAAACAGAAGCAATGACAAAAACCACATGATTATCTCAATAGATGCAGAAAAGGCCTTTGACAAAATTCAACAGTCTTCATGCTAAAAACTCTCAAGAAATTAGGTATTGATGGGACGTATCTCAAAATAAGAAGAGCTATTATGGCAAATAAAACATCATACTGAATGGGCAAAAACTGGAAGCACTCCCTTTGAAAACTGGCACAAGACAGGGATGCCCTCTCTCACCACTCCTATTCAATATAGTGTTGGAAGTTCTGGCCAGGGCAATTAGGCAGGTGAAAAAAATAAAGGGTATTCAATTAGGAAAAGAGGAAGTCAAATTGTCCCTGTTTGGAGATGACATGATTCTATATTTAGAAAACCCCATTGTCTCAGCCCAAAATCTCCTTAAGCTGATAAGCAACTTCAGCAAAGTCTCAGGATACAAAATCAATGGGAAAAAATCACAAGCATTCCTATACATCAATAACAGACAAACAGAGAGCCAAATCATGAGTGAACTCCCATTCACAATTGCTTCAAAGAGAATAAAATACCTAGGAATCCAACTTACAAGGGATGTGAAGGACCTCTTCAAGGAGAACTACAAACCACTGCTCAGCGAAATAAAAGAGGACACAAACAAATGGAAGAACATTCCATGCTCATGGATAGGAAGAACCAATATTGTGAAAATGGCCATACTGCCCAAGGTAATTTATAGATTCAGTGCCATCCCCATCAAGCTACCAATTTAAAGTTCATATGGAACCAAAAAGATCCCGCATTTCCAAGACAATCCTAAGCAAAAAGAACAAAGCTGGAGGCATCATGCTACCTGACTTCAAACTATATTACAAGGCTACAGTAACCAAAACAGCATGGTACTGGTACCAAAACAGAGATATAGACCAATGGAACAGAATAGAGACCTCAGAAATAATAACACACATCTACAACCATCTGATCTTCGACAAACCTGACAAAAACAAGAAATGGGGAAACGATTCCCTATTTAATAAATAGTACTGGGAAAACTGGCTAGCCACACATAGAAAGCTGAAACAGGATCCCTCCCTTACACCTTATACAAAAATTAATTCAAGATGGATTAAAGACTTAAATGTTAGACCAGAACCATAAAAACCCTAGAAGAAAACCTAGGCAATACCATTCAGGACATAGGCATGGGTAAGGACTTCATGACTGAAACACCAAAAGCAATGGCAACAAAAGCCAAAATTGACAAATGGGATCTAATTAAACTAAAGAGCTTCTGCACAGCAAAAGAAACTACTATCAAAGTGAACAGGCAACCTACAGAATGGGAGAAAATTTTTACAATCTACCCATCTGACAAAGGGCTAATATCCAGAATCTACAAAGAACTTAAACAAATTTACAAGAAAAAATCAAACAACCCCATCAAAAAGTGAGCAAAGGATATGAACAGATACTTCTCAAAAGAAGACATTTATGCAGCCAACAGACACATGAGAAAATGCTCATCATCACTGGCCATCAGAGAAATGCAAATCAAAACCACAATGAGATACCATCTCACACCAGTTAGAATGGCTATCATTAAAAAGTCAGGAAACAACAGGTGCTGGAGAGGATGTGGAGAAATAGGAACACTTTTACACCGTTGGTGGGACTGTAAACTAGTTCGACCATTGTGGAAGACAGTGTGGTGATTCCTCAAGGATCTACAACTAGAAATACCATTTGACCCAGCCATCCCATTACTAGGCATATACCCAAAGGATTATAAATCATGCTACTATAAAGACACATGCACACGTATGTTTATTGTGGCACTATTCACTATAGCAAAGACTTGGAACCAACCCAAATGTCCATCAGTGATAGACTGGATTAAGAAAATGTGGCACATATAGACCATGGAATACTATGCAGCCATAAAAAAGGATGAGTTCATGTCCTTTGTAGGGACATGGATGAAGCTGGAAGCCATCATTCTCAGCAAACTATTGCAAGGACAGAAAATCAAACACCGCATGTTCTCACTCATAGGTGGGAATTGAACAATGAGAACACTTGGACACAGGGTGCAGAACATTACACACCAGGGCCTTTTTTGGGGTTGGGGGAGGGGGGAAGGATAGCATTAGGAGATATACCTAATGTAAAAGATGAATTAACGGGTGCAGCACACCAACATGGCACATGTATGCATATGTAACAAACCTGCACGATGTGCACATGTACCCTAGAACTTAAAGTATAACAAAAAATAAATAAATAAATAAATAAATATAAAAATAAATGGCTCCTGGAGCAGAAGTGATGAGCATGCATTTGCCTCTAAACCTAAATGTTTGATAAATTATCTCACTGAATTTTAAATTCTAAATTAAAGGTAAAGAAAAATATTGTTGAGGATCATTTCCATACTGACCTGTGTGATACATGTGATGGCTTATAGCTCATCACTATCACTTTTTCCTGAAAGTGCCAATTAAGCATCTTCATAGGTAGAGAAAAAAAAATCACTATAGTCCTTGTAGTCTAAAGTGGACAAGCGACATACACAGAAATCATCCACGTCTTTTCCAATGGTGGTGACTAGAGTAGACTGAAAATGGGCTTTGGATATGTATTGGTCAAGATTCTCCTGCTTGCAACCTTTGTATATGTATTGGTCAAGATGCTCCTGCTTGCAACCATAAGGATGCCCTTCATGTTGAGTAAAGTTTGACTGAGGTATTTCCTTTTGACTTAAGTAGCTGGGAATGTTTTGAGGCCAGCACACGGTATTGGGAGCTCAAGGACCAGTGCTACCATTGGTCCACACTTCCACTCTTCTCTCATTTCTGTTTGTCAGCACTAGGAAACTTGAACAGCCTAAAGTAGGGTTTCTCAAATCAGTACTATTGAAATGTGAGGCTAGGTAATTATTTGTTGTAGGGTAACTGTCCTGTGCACTTTAGGATGCTTAGCATCTTCCCTGGCCTCTATCCCCTAGATAACAGTAGCATCTTGGTCTCAAGTTGTGAAAAACAGAGGTGTCTCCAGAGGTTGCTATATGTCCCCTCAGGGAAAATGTTGCCCCCAGTTGAGAACCACTGGCCTAGAGAATAGTAACACAGCTTGCATAAATTCAAATCCTATCACTTTCTGTCAATGTAACATTGAGCAAGTTACCTTACCTCTTTGTGCCTGAATTTCCTCATCTCTCTAATAATAACATTATATACAAGATAAGGGTATTGTGAGATTTAAGTGAGAAAATGCAAACAAAACTCTTAGAATAGTAATTGCACACAGTTAGCATTCAATTAATGTTAGCTCTTAATACAAAAGAAAGATTCTCTTCAGATGGTAACGAAATAGCTTCTGGTAGAACCAGATTCAACAGAAGTAGCTTAATAACTCTTGAGGAATCAACAGCTTTTTTTTCTTCCAGTGTATCAGCTAGTCCAGCTTGAGTCATATGACTCTGTCTTGAACAAAACACAGTGGCCTGTACTGTACACAGTGGTGTACTGTACACAGTGGTGTACTGTACACAGTGGTGTACTGTAAATGGCTAGGCTTGGGTCATACTCCAATCCTATGGCTAAATGGAGGAGACTTTACTCAAAGAGAGTTGGAGAAGTATGATGGCAAACAAAATACATAGTCACCATGGTTCACTGCAGGGTATAAAATATTGTGCAAGTAGATTCCCTACTGTGTTAGTCCATTTTGCACTGACTAGGTAAGAAATGGGCATAATATGTGTATATATATATATTTTATATATATGTATAATATATATAAATAATACATATATACATATTATATATAATACATATATTATATATATTATATATTACATATAACGTATATTATATGTATTATATATTATACATATGTATAATATGTGTATTATACACATATATATGTATATAATATTATATATATAATATGTATATACATAAGACTAGGTAATTTATACAGAGACTAGGCAATTTATAGAGAAAATGAATGCTAACTGTGTGCAAGTACTGTTCTAAGAGTTTTGTTTGTATTTTCTGTATATACATATTTTCTGTAAATATAATTTATACAGAAAAGAGGTTTATTTTGGCTCATGTTTCTGCAGGCTGTATATAAAAAGCATGGTACCAACCTCTGCTTCTGGAGAGGCCTCAGGAAGCTTACGATCAGAGCAGAAGGCAAAGGGGGAGTCGGCATACCACATGGAAAGAGGGGGAGCAAGAGAGAGAAGTGGGAGATCCCCAACTCTATTTAACAGTGAAATCTCTTGTGAACTCATTACGACAGGAAGAGCACCCAGCCATTCATAAGGGATTCACCCCCATGACCCAAACACCTCCCACTAGGCTCTACCTTCAACACTGGGGATCACATTTCAACATGAGATCTGGAGGAGAAAATATCCAAACCATGTCACTTACCATGGCAATTGACTCACGGGTCATGGAAACCCAATCCCATTCAGGTTTGGGTGAATCTTCTACGGCAAAGAGATCGGCAAATTATCAAACCAGACAATGTCAAGGTATGGCAGGAAAGTGTCCATTTGAATATGTGTCAAGTGCGGACTTGCTATCCCAAAACCACAGGCAGTGCAGACTGGTTGGAGCAGAAGGAAGGACATGGTGCTTCTTTGCCAGTTTTGCAATGGGAAAGACAAAGCTTCAAACTAATGATCAAAACTTCTTTTCATTGAGTTATTCCCAGGTGATAGATGCTTTACATGTGTTATCTCAAATAATACAACATCTCTACATGATAATTGATATTGTTCCCATTTTTAAAAGAGACTAAATCCTCTCTAGTAAGGATAAGTAAATTCAGAGAAGGTTCACAGTCAGTACAAGATGGAGCCAGAATTCAAACCCAAGCCTGCCCGATTCCACAGCCCATACTCTTCATCCACACCACGCTACCCTAGAGTCTGGCTGAGATTTCAGGAAAGCCAAGTTGCCATACATCTTTTAGGGTACATACTAAAGAAAATGGGACATTAATTAGGTCTTTTCTGTTTGACAAATGAGCCCAACAAGTACTGCTATGTGAACGCCCCAAATTTTACATATTAGAGTGGAGGACCAGGTAGAGAAGAGACCTCCCTGCCAGAAGTTTACTTCTCCTGCCTTATAGGTGTCTTTACTATTTGCATGTTCAAATCCTGCCCACTGTTTAACACCTAGCTCAAATGGTGCCTCTATTCAGGGGTAGACTGAGAAAAATGGACGCCATAACCAGCTAATAATTTGGTGCAAATACCAAATTTTAAATAATGAAATTTGTTTGCCTTTTTCTGCACATTCATAAGATGGATTGAATGTGACAAAACATTTCAACTTCTTTGGAATTGCATCTTACGTTGCAGCACCTTTCCTCTGCTATTTGTATTAATAAACAGCTAGCACTGGCTACTCATACTGGTAAAGTGTTTGTCCAGGTAAATTGTATAACCACCTATTGTTCTATTATATAATTTCAGCTTCCAATGACTATGATGTCCAAAAGCTGCTCTTGGAATTGGAGGCAAACCTGGGTTATACCTCCCAATTTGCAAAAATCTTCTAGTGAGGTTGTAATACCAATGACATGGGTTTGTTACTTTCCATACCATAGTGATGCTTTACTTTGTAGTAGTTGGGCCAATTTACAGTGTGAAAGTCTGCAAGGAGTTTCCTGCCGTGCTAACTGGTACTATCTTTCTGATTTAGAGCATGTTTTGTAGATTGGTCTGCCCATGACTGCCCATTCCCACCCTTTATCTAGTTCTGCCTCATCCCACCAATCACCAAAGGCTGAGATGATCTCTTCTTTCTCTGTTTCTTGGTTACCCAGTATGCTGTGCCTCAGTTTATCTTTTCCTGTTATCAGCGCCACTAGCTCCTCACACTTTAGCATCTGTCACTGTAACTTGATTGCCAGCCTCATACCTTGGCCTTTTATTTCTGTTTCTCATGGTGCATAGCTAACTGTGAATATTTGTCAGTTTCATTTTTAACATAATGAATTTGGACATTTTATGTATAAAAATCAGAATTTAAGTTTATGCCTGTTAAGTATTTTGCAATATGCAATTTCTTTTTTAGCAAATAACTAAAAAGAAACTGAGAATGCCCATTTCAGCACAAAGCTGAAGTTTAGCCACAAGGCATTAATTGGTATGAGGGGATATTTGCATTGGTTCTTTTTTTTGTTCATGTTATTTTTTTGAGAAAATAAAATCCCCATATTTATTAAAATCAGATTAAGTTACTTCAACTGCTCATGTCCCCTGACCAATTTTCCAGGGCCTACTTTGCTGTTGGCTGTGTGCAAATCCAGGCTATGGGCTTGGTCACTGTACTGTCCTTCTCCTCTTTGGCCTGCTCTTCCCACTGGCATGCAATGGGAATCTAGCTCAAATTCCCAAAGTCTAGCCAAGAGTGGAGTGGTGGTGGCCATCATAAATTGGATGACAGAACTAATTCTCTGCACCATTCCATCTTCATTATGCAAAGAGTTACAATCTTAGCTGCAGGCCTCTAGCCCACTCTGAATGCAGGTCACCCATGTCATATGATTTTCCTAAAAAGAGAAATTACACAGAGATGGAAGGTGAGGATATACAGAAATACCTCTTGCCCTTGGTGGGCGTTGAGTGATGTCTGTTACTTATGTAACTCGTGACATCTCTTGGCTTTATAGGGACTGTGTAACTCCCCATGGAAACCTACCTTTACCTTAAATCTGATTCTCCTTCCATCCCCCATAGATAGGTGACCCATCTTCAGGCTCTGCTGAAGGCTACCTGTCTATTGGCACAGGCGGTGTTATCACAATCCAACTGGATCTCAACGCAACTGCCTTTGAAATCTCTTCCAAAGAAGATACCGGAACTTGTGGGTCTCTGCCATGACATGCAGGATATAACAGTGAGTGCAGTGGGTAGATGCCTTTCAATAAGTATCAGTGAAGGAGCTTTCCTTGCAATGAACATTCACTTCCATTTGTGAAAGATGAGTTGAAGGACTTCTCTCTGGCTAACCAGGCCGGGCAACCAAATTTACTTTCATAAGGTTGCAATAAAGGTTGGTAAGGTAGGGTTAGGAAAGAAGGATGTAGGTGGAAAAGAAAAGCAGCCAAGAGGCAGTCTATTCTAGAGTCCCAATTGGGAATCTGGGCAATATTTCCTCTTACTTAACAATAATTCCTATACTACTCTAGCACATCTGCCTTCTCCAAACTGCAGTCCAAAGAAGAGCCATCTTGACCCTTTACATCTAATAGCTTTCTTTTCCCCCACATTTCAATCTCCTTCTTTCCACCATTATCCAGAGGTAGAAAGATTTGGCTCCCTGACCCCAGCCACAATCCTTCCTCTTCTGTCTGCATTCCCTTAGCTTAAACTACTGTAGTAGAATCTTCTTAATCTGGCTTCAATCTCATATCTTGCTAAAAAGTCAAGAAATCCCTACTTCCCGCCTTGGGGCACTACACCACAGGGCACAGTCTGAGAGGGAAAAAAAAAAGGCTGTAAGGGCAAAACATTTTCAAGGTGGAAATTAAAATACATGAGGATATCTGTAAAAATATTTCCTGTATTACAGACTAATTTCAGATCACTTAGCTGGTGGCATGCTTTGGTCCACACTGGCTCAGGAACTGGTTACAATGGAGCCTCTCCATAGAATGCATCAGTGCTCTGCTAGGATAGGGCTAGAGAAGGCCATAAGTAGCCAAGGCACAGTGTGATAAAAAAAAAAAAAAAACACACAGTATTTCCAGACATTATTTGGAAGAGGCTCAGGATTAATCATTTCATATAATTATTTTTCATTCACATTATAACCCTGTGAAATGAGTTCAATTGTTAATTCCAATTGTAAAGATAGGTTAAGAAACTTGCTCAGGGTTCCAGGGCAGTAAAATGAGAGAGCATAATTCTAATACCCATTCCCTCAACCACTCTATTTCACTTCCTCTCAGGAATGCAGGAAGACCTCATGGTAAGGGTGGGAAAGAATAAAAAACTCACATACACTGAGTATCTACGTGCCAAGTCCTAGTTAAACAATCATTTCATGTAAGTCTCAAAATCCAGGGAGGTAAGTATTTCTATTAACCCATTTTACAGATAAGGAAACTAAAGACCAGTGAAATTAAGAAACTTATTCAAGGTCATATAGCTGAAAACAGTAGGACTGGTGTTGAACTTGCACTATTTGCAGAAAGTCTACATTTTCCCTAGTATTGCACGCAGCTTTCGGAAAACGAAACATTGCACCACCAGACATTACAATATGGAGGCTAAGTCATACCATCCAAGTACAGAGTAGTGTATGTAGCACTGTTTGTTCCATCAAAAGAATGGCTTTTCATATGAAAAAGAAAATAGACTCTGCAAGATCTCTTAACTTGGGAGTTCTTAACTTTGCTACAGCCTTTGGCTGTTTTCCTGAAGTCCAATAAAATATACATATTATGTATACAGATATTATATATACATATATAATATATGCATATTATGCCCAAGTCATATATGACCTGTGGTTCATGGCTAGTTAAAAAAAAAAGTCACTATTTTCAGAGTGAGTAGGACAAGAAGCAGAGTGTACTGGCTGAATGCTTTATATAAAATAGACAAAAAAGAACAAAAGAGTTGCTACTCCCTTGTTTTGTACAAGTATAACCACCAGAAAGAGCCCAACCATAAAGGTTTTGGACTACACAGAAAGAAGTAGAAATACTGCTCCAGTGTGTGCCAAGGATCTGTGCCCAGGCAGAGGAGGCAGATAATATGGGGAAACCGAAGTGTTACAACTGGTTTCGTGTGCCACAGGCAGGGTGAAAATTGCTCTTACATGTATGTGTGTTGGCCTGGCTGTGCAAAAGAGAGATACCCATTACTTCCCTATGCCTGTTCTGAGAAAACAGCTCCAACTTATGTTACCTTCATGTGTGTAAACATCGGTTCCTTGGGAACACTTTAAGCATCATGAGAGCAGGATCTTCTAATTCTTGTAGAAGTACCAGGTGAGCAGATAGATGCCTTTCAATAAGCATCCGTGAAGCTCTCCCTGCAATGGCCATTCACTATCATTCCCCTCTAGCAACTAAAGAGATGTGTAGTACAAGGAAGGTAATTCTTTAATTCAGTGAATTGCCACAGAAACTCAGCCATAAGTTATGAATGTCTCCTTCCTTCAAAGGTCCCGCCAATCTTTCTCTTGCAATCACTTTCACATCATCTTCTTCATCCTCTTCTTAACAAACCATCCCCCTTTTCCTCCACATTTTACCTTATTACCCTTAAGCAAAGGAGTGATAGAATGTGTGCTCTCCCCTATATGTAGCTCATCCCCTAGCTCCCTGTAAAGCCTGGAGCTACTTCTCTGTACTCTGGCTTAAGTATTTTTGTCCAGTAAGTGTTGAGAAAATCAAATGGTCCTGATATAGCTATATGACTGCTCTCCATTATACATGAACCAGGAAATAGGGAAGGAAGATAGAAAAAGTGTGGTGGGGGTTGGGCCTGGTGGCTCACGCCTGTAATCTCAGCACTTCAGGAGGCCAAGGCTGGCGGATCACTTGAGGTCAGGAATTTAAGACCAGCATGGGCAACATGGTGAAACCCTGTCTCTACAAAAAATAAAAAAAAAATTATCCAGACATGGTGGTTTGCGCCTGTAGTCCCAGATACTTGGGAGGCTGAGGTGGGAGGATCACCTGTGCCTGGGAGGCCAAGGCTGCAGTGAGCTGAGATCGCACCGCTGAACTCCAGCCTGGGTGTCAGAGTGAAACCCTGTCTCAAAAAAAAAAAAAAAAAAAAAAGAAAGAAAAGAAAAGAAAGGAAAAGAAAAGAAAAGAAGAAAAGAATGGTGGGGAAAAAAGGGTGAGAGGATAAGAAACAGTTAAAACAATAATTAGGATTTGGGAAATACAGACGTTACTAAAAACTGAAGAAAAACAAAGTATTCTAACCCTTAAAATGATGGACAGAATATGGAGGAGTGTTGCAGTTTATGAAAACACAAAAAAATTCAGTAAAACACCCAGGAGGTAGGGTGGGGAGAGACAAATCAAATACTGTACTGTAATGTTATTCTTTCAAATACTAAGAAAAAAAATAGCATGATATGATCAGAGAGAATAGATTAAGTTTGAAGACAGCAGACTGGGACTGAGTTACTGGGAACTATTTTATTTAGGAGAAAGGAACCAAGTCCCTCTTGCTGTCTGATATGGTTTGGCTTTGTGTCCCCACCAAAATCACACCTTGAATTGTAATAATCCCCACATATCATCGGAGGGACCCAGTGAGAAGTAATTAAATCATGGGGGCAGGTTTTTCCCATGCTGTTCTCATGATAGTGAATAAGTCTCACGAGATGTGATGGTTTCATAAAGGGGAGTTCCCTTGTGCATGCTCTCTTGCCTGTATGATGTGGCTTTGCTCCTCCTTCACCTTCTGCCATCATTGTGAGGCCTCCCAGCATTGTGGAACTGTGAGTCAATGAAACCTCTTTCCTTTATAAATTATCTAGCCTTCGGTATGTCTTTATTAATAGCTGGAGAACAGACTAATACACTGTCCAACTTCTTATGACCATTTCTTGCTTCCTGAATCTGTTGCATTTCTCTTTCCATGTCTGACTTAGTGACACACCAATATCATGAGGCTCTGCATTTGGAGTCTTTGTGCCACATCCTAGGAAGTATGCTTAGGGCACCCTGATCACAGTGCTTCTCAGATCCCCCGTTCAGCCCTGCCTCTTTTATAGGCCTCAAGCCACAAGTACATGAAGCATAGATTTAAATATTTAACTTATATCAAGTTAAGAAAATATGTTAATAAATATTTTATCTCTTTTTTGTTAAGATTCATTTCTAATAACCTGGAAATTTAGGCTCAAAATTAAAATTTTTGGATTCTTTGGAATTCCTCTCTGGTCACTTGGAGATCCAGAGAAGACTGGACTTCAGTCCCCAAATCCTGCCTCATGACACAACACCCTCGCTTTCCATACAGACTGCATCTCACACCAGACTTAGGAAGATTCTCCTCTCTGCACATCCAAATTTCTTTGCATCTTACCCCTGCAAACAGCCACTGCTGGCTCAACTTAACCACTCCTGAAGTCTAGATGTGCACATACCACCAGCATAGTCTGCCCACAGGAAGCAGCAGTAAGGGGAACAGTCTATGCTGGCCTTGGAGGCGGGTTCAGGTTATGTGAAACATGGTCTGGAAGTGAGGGCATTTGCTTGAACCCACTCCTGTAGCCCCGCAAAGGCAGGGCGGAGGGCAGAGGGCTGCCTTCTAAAACATATCTGAGGCCTTTCTTGTCCTGGTTTAAAGGGGTGCACTGCTACTATGGTCATTAACAAATGTTTTCTGGGCACTAAGCTGTGGACACCAATCATGCTAGGATGAAAAATATGAACAGAAGTGCAAGGGAGACACAAAGTGGGGCAATTGACTCTCAGACCTCACAAATCTCTACCCCTCCCAGGTGCTTTGTCTCAAGAAATGGCACCACCATGGAGACCCATGACCATCAGAACCTGGGAATCACTCTAAACTTCTTCTACTCCTTTGCCACTGTATGGTGATCCATCATTCCACCCCCAAATGCCTCTTCACCTACATTGTTGAGTGTGATCTGTGTTAGGACATTTTTTCATTACTATAAAGGAATACCTAAGAGTGCATAATTTATTAAGAAAAGATGTTTAATTGGCTCATGGTTCTGCAGACTTTACAGGAAGTGTGGTGCCAACATCTGCTTCTGGTGTGCGCTTCAGGAAGCTTACAATCATGGTGGAAGGTGAAAGGGAGGCAGCATGTCACATGGCCAGAGCTGGAGCAAGATAGTGATGGTGGGAGGTGCCACGCTCTTTTAAACAACCAGATCTCATGTGAACTGACTGAGCAAGGACTCACTCATCACCCAGAGGATGGAGCTAAACCAATTCTGAGGGATCTGCCCCATGATCCAATAACTTCCCACCAGGCCCCACCTTCAAATCTGGGCATGACATTTCAACATGAGATTCAGAGGGGACAAACATACAAACCATATGATGATACTATGCAGCTGATGTATGAGCCACAGTTTGTGGAGTAACTGAGCATTGTGGAAGCTCAGAGAAAGGGCGCATCCTATCAGGCTGATGTAGTGAGGGGGAAAGGTGGGACTAACACATGTGATTTATAATGTTACTTGTAATAATCTTATACACTTTCATGTGGAAGTGGTTGAATCATGAAGCTAGAATTAGTCTTGGGTAAGAGAGGAATAGTAAGGCCATCTGAACCTGTGCAATGTTATGCAAGAACCTGTGAGAGAGAAAAGGGAATCAGGCCTTCATATCTTATTTATTTTTAGAGTAGCTCATCTCTAACTTTAACCTGAGCCAACCTATCAATGGAAACACACAAGTATACTTTCATAAAGGCATTTTTAAAAACCTTACTTTACATTTCTGCCTTTGTGCTTACATTCCTCCAAACCTTTAACTGGTTGGCCTGTTGGATCATCTTCAAGACTCTCTCACCTTGCAGGCCCTTTAGGAATCCCTTACACAGCAGTGTCTACAGCTTTAAAAAGGCAACTCTGCACAAGCCTGGAGGAGCAGGCTTCTGGCTTGGCTACAGAGATGTGAGAACCTGAGTGTGATGTCAATCTAGCACATGGACAATTTTAAGTTAGCCCTAATGTGTATTCAGCTGCCTAGCTCTAAATAGAAGTCTTGTGAGCAACATAGAACCTCAGCTGTTTTATAACCATCCTCCCAAACTTCAAAGCGCTTGGCCCAGCTCAGCCAATGGAATCTGGTATATATTTTTTTATTTTTATTGTATGCTTCTCATGTCCATGCAATTGGAATAAACTGTAAATTAGGTGTTATAGCACTGTAGTTTGGTTAGATGCGATGCTTTAGAAATGTAGCTTTAGTTTGTTATAAGATAATAGCTGCTTTGCTTTGTTGTGACAGTAGCAATAAAATAAAGTTACTACAATGTAAAATGTAGTAACCAACCCAAACTACTGAAACAAAGCTACAAATCAGAAATGGACCAACTCTGAGAACTTTATGTGCAGAAGCAACAATGCATGTCCATCTCTGAACATGTAACACAGGGAACCCTGTCATAGCCATCAGTATTATCTGGGTTCAGGTATTTATCTCGGGTTAAATCATGTTCCCCTAAGCCATAAGGGGTAAAAATCCTGTTGGAATACAGAAATATTCCATTCCATTTACATCACATAGAGGGGAGACCCTGTGGAGCCTAAGCTGGTGTTTAAGTATACCTGGGCATATGTGAAGACCTGGTATGTTGGTCAGGGTCTCAAGAAACCAATTTCTGAAAAAAGTTGGCTGAGAAAGCGGCTGTTTTGCTTTTGTTGTTTGTTGGTTTTGTTCATTTGGTTTTTAGTTTTTGGTGTGTGTATTGTTTGCTTGTTTGTTTTTAACAGATGCCTGAGACAAAAGCCTGAGATTGAGCAGAAATCATGGGACTTTTCTTAATTTTGGTTTGATTTCTTGCTCTATGGACATTTACCTGAAACTTGCAGAGGGGACTGTAGGCAGAGGTTAAACTTTTTTTTTTTTTAATAAGAAACCATAAGTGAATGAGCTGCCACATAACTGTTTTAGTGCCCTGGTAATAAAATGTGCCATGGTGAAGGAGAGAGACATTTTTACTTTAGGGGCTTCCAAGTGCTGAGGACAGTAGGGAACATGACACTATGCTAACTCCTGACAGGTTGGTAGCTTTGGAAGCAGCAAGAGAGAGGCAGGACCCATGTCACTGGCCTCGACTTTTTCATAAATCCTGGTAGCAGCTACAGCAGCAAATCACTTCCATGAGGGGCTTTAAGTTGAGCCAACATCAACATGAATAGTAAGAGATGATCCATGAACTCATGTTAAACAGCCCAGAAATGCCAGGAAATATTGGTGAGGGCTGGGGAGAGAGGGACATATGTGGGTCTTAGAAGGTGCTTAGTTCCCAAAGGTTTATGCAGATGCTGGCAAACACTAGTGAAATTTAGGCCAATTAGTGACTATAGATATATAATAATCGTGCAAACTATACAACCTATTAATGTGACCCCCTTTGTACCCAGAAGCCGACAAGGTTAGGAATACATGGGTTACAAATGGCAAAAGCTTTGGTTTGATACTAACAGCTAATATTTATTGAGTATTGACCATGTACTACAGATTGTCTTTAGCATTTTTCATGTATTTCTCAGTTAAACCACAACCTATGAAGTGAGTGCCATTATTTCCCCCATTTCTCAGGTGAAAGATTTGCAGCACATTAGTCTTATCCAAGTTCATTATGAGTTAAGTGACCAGAGCTGGGAACTAAACTTATAGAATTTGCCCCCCAGCTGTGTTCATGGCCTTTACATGATCTCCTTACACTCTGCAGAGAGCCACTTTTGGTATAGCATTCCAGAGTGATATTTCCCAGCTAGGCAATTTTCCTGGGCCCTGAGATTCCCACGAATACATCTATATCATTACATTTATGTAGATACATAATAAGCATGCAAAATATAAACACTGTCCACCTTTTAAAACACACCCATATTATAAAAGACTTTTCTGAGCCAAATTTCTGTGAGTTTGGTCCAAAAGGGCAAATATTCTAAGAAATACTAACTAGGGCCCAAAGGACAAAATGCTACATTTTGAGTACAGTGACCCATTGTGAAGCCAGTCAGTTCTCTTAGAATTTCTTTAAACTCAGGCTAAATGGACCTTCCCAAATGGGCTTGAAAATAACTTTGAATGCTCTAATCCTTACATGTGCCAAGGTACATGTGACTGGATACATAACATTCAGGGGGCCAGACAAGGGGGCTCCACTTTGTTTATAGACTTTCTGATTTTGTTGTTGTTGTTGTTGGTTGGTTAAAAAGCTGACAGACTGTATTACAGCTAACATTCCCATATTGATTATACCATTTCTGAGGCTGGCCTCTCTGTGACAAGAGCAGCATAATTAGTTTTTTCCTTGTTAAATATTTGTAAATCATTTGTACTTTTATGGGGTACATAACCTGGCTGTTACCCTTCAAATAATCTTCGTGTGACTTGTTTAAACAGGAAATATCTCCTGGAGTGCAGTGTCACTTCTGTCTTTCAATGAGACTACAACATAAGGACTTCTCTTGCTAGCAAAATGCAAAAGGGCACCCATGCCATGGTTACATAAAATGTGTCTGTAGGAGTCTCCGTCCCAGCAGACTCAAGAACAGCCACTTCTGCCCAGCTGCTCTGTGTATAGCACTAGGGAGCAACTAGATTGGAGAAAAATGTTTGAATTGTTTGTTTTGCTTTTTGTTTATATTAATTTATTTTAATCTACCAGAAGCCACAATTGTCAGTCTCATGATCATTAAAAAGCACTGATTTGGGGTTCACAAGAAAACAAAATGATTAAGACTACTTACAATTACATCATCGTATAGTGTGAGGTCAACTTCTGAAATATAACTCTTTGTTGTGCCCATTTAGAGTTGCTACCTCAAAAACAGGCAGTGTGAGAGGTAGTACAAATATTCCAACAATGCTACAATTTCTCAAAGAGTTCTTGAAAATCCTCTTTGAAATGAACTTTCCAGTCTAAGAGCACACTTATTTGAATTTCTTTAATTATCATAAACCCTTTTTACTTAAATTTTAAACTTGGAGTGAATTTTTTGAGTAAAGTTTATAATTACTTGAATATAAATCTGATAAATAAGTTGTATCAAAAAAGAAACCCTGTATATGTTGATCCCAAATATAAAGACATAAATCTAAAGTGATAGGAAGGATTGTGTCTACTGATTATAAACAGTCCAAAGGTCCATGATACTAAGAGAAGTATCTCTGCAATGGGCACAGGCCTTTGACCCATTTCAGTCAGTTTTCTTAAAAAAATTGTAAGAATGCACAATAGTTTATAAAATCTTAAAGCAGAAAATAAATTGAGCCCTGTGAGAGACCACAATCATGAATTACAAAGCCGTAAGAAAGGAAAATGTCTTATTTAGTCCACTTTGTGCTGCTGTAACAGAATGCCACAGACTAGGTAATTTACAATAAACAGAAATTTACTGCTTCACAGTTCTGGAGGCTGATAAATCCAATATCCAGGAATCTGCATCTGACAAGGGCCTTTTTGCAGCATTATCCCATAGCACAAGGCAAGAGGGTGAAAGAGGAATGAACTTCCCCTTTTGTAATGGCCCCAGTCCCACTCAGAGTGTGGAGCCCTCATCGCCTAATACCTCTTAGGGGCCCCACCTCCTAATACTGTTACAATGGCAATTAAATTTCAACATGAGTTTTGGAGGGGACAAACGTTCAATCGTTGCAGAAAACAACTGTTGCTTGCTTTTACTGAGACTACTGGAGCCCATCAGTGCATTTCATGGCACCTCTTCTCAGTCTACCTCTGCACATCAGCTGGCCACTTCCACAAGAGCTCAGTTGCAAGAACTTGCTGAGGCTGAGCTGGGATTAGAAGACCTAAACTATCAAGAAAGAGAAAGTATTGGGTTCATCAGAGCATGCTGTGGGGTATGAGGGATAGAGTGTGGGGTGAAGGATGCAGACACAGGGCAGGAGGAAGTAGAGGAAGCCAGGTATTAGTGCCTGGCCAGAGAGAAAGCTAAAGACAGAAGGCTTCTATCTGGTCACCTATGGATACCCAAAATGGATTGCATTTGAACTAGAATCTAGTATTTCAATGTCTTTGAAGAAGTGATGCATTTAGGCCAGATTTGTGATGCTTTGAACCCAGATGGTGGCTAGAGAGATGCCAGTTCACTGACACATCTTCCTGGTAGATAAAGAAAGGCTTGCAGATAGACGAGTCATTTGCTTGCTATTGAGTCCATAACTCACAATTTACTATGGAAATACCAAAGTTTTGGAATCTTAATGGAGAAGAAAAGCAAATTCATAAAACTTGGTTCATGCTATCTAGTGCCCTCAATTTTTTTTTGCCTCCCAGGCAAATGAATGTGTGGCAATCTATATTAATCATTATTACAGTTGCATCAAATGATTTTCCTTACACACATACATTAGGATAATAAAACTCTTGCATTTATATACATTTTACGGTATTCCAAAATGTTTTAAACTATTTTATTTGATGTAATAACCCTATAAGACAGAGCAGTATTAGGTTGAATCATATAAAATTGCCATTTTTGTTGATCAAAAGTGGCTTAATATGGACAATTTTATATAGTTAATATTAGCATAACAATTTAACACGAGTCAACTCATGTATAGAAGTGTTAAGGAACCAACTCAGACTTACCTGGCTCCTAAGTTCTGGAGATGGAGCTAGAATCCATGTCTTCTTATCGCAGAGATATTTCCACTATAATAGACTGTATAAGAAAAGAGCATGCCCATATGTAATACAAACCAAAATTAAGCATTTTTATCTATGTTTGTTTTGTGATAAATTTACTACAGATAAAGATAATGAGGAAAACTTCATGAAATCCGCTTTAAGCGCTCTTCATTAATTTTTTGCACCCTTATGCATTTTTTTCCAAATTAGCAAAGTGCAAAGAATCAAGTCATTTATGCTATGAAAAGATTACATATTTAGTTTTTCAAATTAGTTGGCTGTGAGTAAATTATTTTGTACCTCTATTATTTAGGGTACAGGGAGCTGAGGAAGAAAAAAAAACATTATGTTTGATTAAGTGAAGAAAAATCAGAATTATTAGTCATGAAAAAATTAGCTATTTCTTTACCTCTATTTACTTTTCTTTCTTAAAGAAGAAAGTGAGTCAAAGTCTCTCCATTTTGAGAAAGAAGGAATTTTAAATGAGGGTGCCAACGCTTTGTTTCTGATACAGTCTTCGTAAATCATATCTGAATTAGAATTCATATCAATAACCCAATCCTTCTTCTGCTTATACTAAGGTTTCTTGAGCACAAGTAAATCATATATAACTTGTTAGTTTTTAAAAAATGCTACAGGGTATTCAAACATATTATTATATATGTGATATTTTTCAAGAATTAGCAAATGGCTATCAAACATGGAAATACAATTTAACAACTTAAACTAAAAGAAATATACCTCATTAATTTAAATTCAATTAGCAGGCTGCAACCCAGCCAGCGGCACTAGTTAAGTGCCTCAAGCGTGTGATGTGGGAATTCCACTGGTCCAGCGAGCCCTTCATTTCCACGGGCCTCTCAGTAGTTGTTTTGTTGCCCTAAAAGATAGATTATTTCTTCCCACACCACTCTCATGGCTTCTCATGGCACGGGGAAGATGGCACCGATTTGTTTACCCATGAATGCTTTTGTGAGAGGAGAGAGGCCTCTGTACTTCAATATTTTCCCCCTGGACAGAAACTTGGAGTGGAGAAGGGAGGAAATGTCTCTGTCATTTTATTGTTTTTAGCTTCCTAGTTATTTAAGAAGTTTCTTCTTCTACCTTATAAGCTTCAAACCTAAGAACAAAAAAGCAATTTTTCCACAATATTATTCATTGCTATTTCCAAACAAAAAATATATTATTAAAGCAACTCAGGATGGAAAGACATCTCCAGAAATGGTGCCTGATTCAATGGATATTTTACCTGAAACCTAGTAGGTTTGACAGTTAGTAGGGGAAGCTATAAGGGAGAGAAACAGACAAATAAAATTCTCTCTATATATGCCTCGTCTGTATCACTGAGATTCCCTACACACTAATTTTACATTATTTGTATATGCCTATACAATGTTGTCCATGTTGAGTCAAAACAATACATCTAGAATAATCCTTTGCTAGGGCATATTTTCTTAATATGACACTCTTCATTGATTATCATTTTGATGTGCATGATTCAATTTTCACTTTCAATAAAGTCACTTCTTAGCCTTGATTTCATGGACAAGGAATAACGTATTAAAAGGCCAACAATTAGTAACTGTGTCAGCAGCTATTACTGCATATTAATAGCCCAAAGCTACCAGAACCCCAAAACACAATGGCTAAAAATGTGATGCATTTATTATTGCTCACAAGTTTACAAGTCAGCTGGGTGGTTCTGGTCTCTACTGGCCTTGTCAGCTATGGATTGTATAATCGGCTCTGCTGGCCATGGCTGGGATTTCTCAGATATTCAGGGGTAAGCTAGGAGCTGGCTTGTATAGGATGGCCTCACTACTGTCTGATGGTTGGGATTCTTGAATGACTGGGTCATTATTTCAGTATCCAGCCAGCTAGCTATTATTCACATGGTGATGACAGGGGTCCAAGAGTTGAGTGAAAATGTTCAAGGTCTCTTGAGATCTGGCACACCATTACCTTTGCCTAATTCTATTAGCTGAAATAAATCACAGCCTTAGCCCAGATCAAGAGTAGAGGAAGGAGGCAACACCTCTTCATGGGAGGAGTCACAAAGTTACACTGCAAAGAGTGTAGATACCAGAATTTGTGAATTTTTGTGGCCATTTTAAAAATCATTTTTCTAAAGTAACACTAATAGAGTATTGTCAAAGTATGTCTTGCAAAACATTGGTTCTACATGCCATTAATTGATGGGATAAAAAACAATACCCATGCATTCATACAGAAAAGAAGGGTGGATTTCCATATTCAAATACAGTAGGAGACTCTGCATTTACGGGACTCCTTCCCTTGATGCCTCAAAATGAGCTAGTAGGAAGAGTGGCTCCAGCTCTCTCATCAGGAATGGCTACAACTCCCCATAGGTATAGCAGCTCTCACTGCTCTCAGCAACAGGAGGTGTGCTGAGACTCTACACCCAGAGGTCTGGGCTCCTCCAAGTCTCCAAGTGCTGGGCAACTGATATTTCTAGCAATTCACCCAATGGTTAGTGTCTAATCTTAGACTACTAGGTGTCTGAGTTCAGTTCTCTTCATTGAAGACTGTTCTCCTGCTTACATCATACAAAGAGAGAGCAACAGGGTTGTGAAACCCTTTATAGGAATATAGCCCCTCTGTTTATCCAGCTATTCCCTGCCCCAGCATACTTCTGTCACAATTCTGCTGGACTCTGAGAGAACAGAGGCCTGTGTACCTGCTGCAATCCTGCACCAAATGCTGTTTGCTGTTGTTTGAACATGGACCATTGCAAGAGAGTATCAAACAAAATTTATCAGAAGTCCTGCTATGGACTGAATGTGAATGTTTGTGCCCTCTCACCTCAAATTCATATGTTGAAGCCCTATTCCCCAGTATCATAGTATTTCAAAGTGGGGTCTTTGGGAGGTAGTTAGGTGTAAGGGTGAAGCCCTCATGAATGTGATTAGTGCCCTTAAAAGAGAAGACACAAGAGATGTGCTCTCTCTCTCTACCAAGTAAGGGTACAGCAAGAAGGCATCTACCCATCTGCAAACCAGGAAGAATATCCTCACCAGGAACTAAATCAGCTGGCACCTTGATCTTGGACTTCCAGCCTTCAGAACCATGAAGAATAAATTTTTGTTGTTTAAGTCACCTAGTCTATGGTATTTGTTATGGTAGCCTGAACAGATTAAGACAGATTCTTTACTGTACATCATAGTGCCTTTGGTGAATGACTCTCAGACAGACAGAATACATAGTTTCCCAAGGTTTTTTGATCAAGGAATCTTTGTTCAAGAAGCATTTTGCAAAACTGCTATGACATAGAATGCATATTAGAGAAAAAAATCTCTCATTTAAAGGACAAATTTCAGTAAAATAAATATATCAAAAATGCATATTCATATAAAACACTGATTGTTTATTTTCCCCTATATGCTTATTGTACTTTCAAGCCCTTCTGAAGAAATTTTGACTGTCAAAATAAGCAACTAAACAGAAGCAACTGGAAAACAAAAGGTAAACAAATAAAGAAGAGCAAGGCTGAGAAAGAAAATCAGTTAAAAATGTCAGATAAAATAGCCCAGTGCCTGATACATTTTGGGCACCCCACAAAAGTGTGTTGAAACAGGATCTGAACACAAAATTTAATCTGAAGGAGTAAACAAGGAAAAGTAATAACTTATTAATCATTCAATGAATCTTTATTATACCTCTACTACATATCAATCACATAGGCTACTGGAGGACTATAGCCAAAACCTGATCACCACCTGTTTTTGCAAATAAAGTTTTATTGGAACACAATGACATTCATCCATTTATGTATTGTCTATGGGTGTTTTTGTGCTGTAACTACAGATATGAGTACTTGCTACAGAGACCATACGGCATGCAGAACCTAAAATACTTACTGTCTGATCCTCTATACAAAAAAATTTGCTAACTGCTGATAGATTCTAGGCCCATCCTTAAACTGTTCCATTCCTGTATTCTTTCTCTTAGAGGGTGCCTTATTTTATTTTTCTTATGGTTTCAATTACATCTACAGAAAAGACTCTGTAATCCCTATTCCCAGTCTTAGGCACTGGGGGTATTTCTAGAATTTTTCCATTTATCCTATGAAAGCAATTACCTGTTGTGCCAATTCTACACACTAGTCTACTGTCTAGGTTACAGTTGACACATAAATTAGAGAGGAAGAAGAAATGCGACCATTTGTATTTGAGGTGCATATGGAATACTTTAGTACTGCTGTAATGATATCTTGCTCTACTTTGGAAGCTTTCAAGCACTTTACCATAATTAGTTTCTTTGCTCCAATATGCCAGGGAAATATAAAAGCAATCATTGACATTATCACTGTCCAGTTGTGAAAAAAGATACAAAGGAGTTAAGCAGTTCACCAAAGGGCTTGATTGCCAGACAGAGGACATTACTTCTAAATTTTAATAACAGGGCTGCTTCTTCATTATACCCCATGTGTCTTAGTCACTTTGAGCTGTTATAACAAAGTACTATGAACTGCATGGCTTATAGGCAACAGAATTGTATTTCTCACAGTTCTGGAGTCTGGAAGTCCAAGATCAGAGTGCCAGCATGGTCGGGCTCTGGTGAGGGTTCCCTTCCGGGTTTCAGACTGCCGTTATCTCATTGTATCCTTACATGGCAGAAAGAGGGTGAGAGAGCTCTTGGGAGTCTCTTTTATAAAAGTACTAATCCCATTTATGAGGGTTTCACCCTCATGACCTAATCACCTCCCAAAGGCACCACCTCATAACACCATCACTTTGGGGGTTAAAATTTCAACATATGAATTTTGGGGAAACACAAATATTCTGTCCATTGCACCATGGAAAAGTGAGAAGTTCAGGCCTTGTTTCAACCCAGCATTATCTATTGAAATTAAGCTAGACTTTCATAAATGTTCTCCTCCAAGTCCTGATTTCAATTTAGCTACTTTGTGCCCACAAATGGTGTATGACAAGAGGCATATGCCATGCATAACACTATTATTATTAGGTGAAGGGAGGATGATGCAAAACCCAGTGTTATTTTTCCCCCAAGAATTACCCAGGATGCTCTCTCTACCTATGTGCTTCTCTAAGCCTCCATCATGATTTGCTTCCTCGCTCCTTTTGCTCACGGCTAAGGTTGTTTTTGTCCCTGTGTGAAGGTGACAGTGGTAAATGTGATCAGCTCTAGATGAGTGGAAAGTCTTTTCTTCAACGAACACACTTCCTTAAAAAAAAAAGTGACTTCCCTCTTAAATGCAAGTTCCCATGAATATAGAGAACTTTGGAAGTCTAAGAGATTTTTATAAAAGAAATAGAAGCCTGACAATTTTTCTCCTAGGAATGCTGGAGCTCAGCTGTTGTATAGCTCTGAAACTCAGCTCACTCACTCTGTCCTCCACGGATTGTATTTCAATAAAAACTTAATAAACAGAATATTAAAGATTTGAAGAATTATATGAAGTATTACATTTCTAACCCTGCCATTTATTTTATTTTTATGAGATATCAGGACCAGTTTAATAAGTATAATAAACATAAACTCTGGCATTTATAACACTATTCACCAGATTAATACCAGATAGTATTTTCTAGAATTGCTATTTTAATAGGAATAAATGAATAAACAGATATATCTTGGACTTATTCTACTGAGATTGCAGGAAACCAATTTTTGAAATCAAATTAACAACCAAAATCAATATTTTCCCCATTAATTCCATATTTACTAAAAGAGTTTTAGTACCAGAAGATAGCAAAGATATGCTGGCATTGGACTAGCCAATGGTGCCTTTGATGTGCGTTAAAAAGAGTGTCTTTCCCACTCTTTCAGTCTTAACCTATTGTCCTGGGCTAGCTATTCTAGTCTCTTTACAAAGCCACTTGCACATGTACATGTGCACAGTTAACAGTTGATAATATCAGATTCATCTAAGGCAGGGGCAGTAAGGTGTGTTTTATTATTCATATTTTTAATTTATTATCTCCTACTACCCTCTTTTTTACTATTTCCCATCTAAGACCTTCCAAGATATTGATGACTTCAAATAAACCCCAAGGACATAAAAAAGAATATCAAGAGGAATGGCTCCTTCTTAGATCTCAAAGGAAGGGTAAAGAGGTAAGTATAAGTATTCAGGAATTGAAGACACTTAAGATGAAGTCTATACACTGCACAGAATATACGGTTCAACACCTTGTAAGTTCCTTGCAATCTGAACGTAAAAAACAAAAAACAAAAAAGCTCCAACAATATCAACTAATGATCTTCAAGCCATGGTAAAATATCCCATTCATACATGAAATTTCAAAATATTAAAAACTTTGATCAATATCAAGTGTTGGTAAGGGTATGCTGTGATGGTTAATATTGAGTGTCAACTTGACTGGGTTGAAGGATGCAAAGTATTGTTCCTGGGTGTGTCTGTTTAAGGTGTTGCCAAAGGAGATTAACATTTGATCAGTGGGCTGGGAGAGGCAGACCCACACTCAACCTGGGTGGGCACCATCTAATCAGCTGCCAGTGTGGCTAGAGTAAAACAGGCAGAAGTTGGAAAGAAGAATTGGCTGGGCATGGTGGCTCACGCCTGTAATCCCAGCACTTTGGGAGACCAAGGCGGGTGGATCACAAGGTCAGGAGATCGAGACCATCCTAGCTAACATGGTGAAACCCCATCTCTACTAAAAATACAAAAAAATTAGCCAGGCTTGGTGGTGGGCGCCTGTAGTCCCAGCTACCAGGGAGGCTGAGGCAGTAGAATGGCGTGAACCCAGGAGGCAGAGCTTGCAGTAAGCCGAGATCACAGCCACTACACTCCAGCCTGGGTGACAGAGCAAGACTGTCTCAAAAACAAAAAAAAGAGAGAGAGACTTGTGAGTCTTCCTGCCTTCATCTTTCCCCTGTGCTGGATGCTTGCTGCTCTTGAACATCAGACTCCAAGTTCTTCAGCTTTTGGACTCTTGGACTACACCACTGCCAGGGGCTCTCAGGCCTTCAGCCACAGACTGAAGGCTGAACTGCTGGCTTCCCTGCTTTTGAGCTTTTGGGACTTGGACTGACTTCCTTGCTCTTCATCTTGCAGAAAGCCTATTGTGGGACTTCACCTTGTGACTGCGTGAGTAAATTCTCCTAATAACCTTCCCTTCATACATATATATACATATATATATCTCCTATTAGTTCTGTCCCTTTGGAGGACCCTAATACATGTGTAGAAACAGATATTTCTCTAAATTATTAAGTTGATGCAAAAGTAATTGTGTTTTTTGCCTCAAAAGTAATGGCAAAACCCGCAATTATTTTGCACTAACCTAATACTAGAGAGAGTTAAAATTGTTATAGACATTTTGGAAGGAATCAATTTTGCAGCATTGGTCACAATTTAAAACATACATATACTACAGCCCAACAAATCCAGTTTTCACCATCAAAGTTGAAACTTTTGTTCATGTTTTCAAAGAGATATATATATATATGGGTGTTCCTTGTGGAAATATTTGTGATAGCTGATTTGAATCAACCTAAGTGTCTACTATGGAAGCTGCTAAACAGACTTTGATAGAATGTGGTGCAACTATGGACAATGATGTGTTTCATACACTTCAATATGTAAACATCTAGATTTGTTTTTCAGTGAAAAAGTATGTTGCAAGGCATACATTTAGTATGATGTTACTTATGTAAAATCATGCACACACTCACACACACTCATGCACATGCACATGCACATTCACACATCAAGTCACAGTCTTTTGTTCTGGTATTTATATATTTATATAAATAATGGAAAACGGTTTGACATGATTTTCAATAAACTGATAATGAGTTTTTATTTCTCTGAGCAGGAGATAAAGAAACTAAGACTCTTAACACTTCTGATATGGTTTGGTTCAGTGTCCCCATCCAAATCTCATGTCAAATTGTAATCCCCACGTGTTAACAAAGGGGTCTGGTGGGAGGTGATTGGATCGCGAGGGTGGTTTCCCCCATTTTGTTCTCATGATAGTGAGTGAGCTCTCACAACATCTGATGGTTTAAAAGTGTATGGCAATTCTTCCCCTTTCTCTCTCTCTCTCCTGCTCTGCCATGGTAAGGTGTGCTTACTTTCCCTTCCCCTCTGCCATGATTGTAAGTTTCCTGAGGCCTCCCCACCCATGTGGAATAGTCAGTCAATTAAACCTCTTTTCTTTATAAATTACCCAGTCTCAGGTAGTTCTTCATAACAGTGTGAAAGTGAACAAATACAAAAAATTGGTACCAGGAGAGTGGGGTGCTTCTATAAAGATATCTGAAAATGTGGATATCTTTGGATATCCAGCAACTTTGGAACTGGGTAATGGGCAGTGGTTGGCACAGTTTGGAGAGCTCAGAAGAAGACAGGAAGATGTGGCAAACTTTGGAACTTCCTAGAGACTTGTTGAGTGGTTTTGACCAAAATGCTGATAGTGATATGGACAATGAAGTCCAGGCTGAGGTGGTCCCAGATGGAGATGAGGAACTTACTGGGAACTGGAATAAAGGTCTCTCTTGCTAGGCTTCAGATGAGAGACTGGCAATATTTTGCCCCTGCCCTAGAGATGTGTGAAACTTTGAACTTAAGAGAGATGATTTAGGGTATCTACCAGAAGAAATTTCTAAGCAGCAAAGCATTCAAGAGTTGACCTGGCTGTTCCTAACAGCACACAGTCATATGCATTCATAAAGAGATGGTCTGAAATTGGAACTTATGTTTAAAAGGGAACAGCAAGTAAAAGTTTGGAAAATTTGCAGCCTGACCATGTGGTAGAAAGGAACAACTTATTTTCTGGGAAGAAATTTAAGGTGCAGGCTGCAAAAAGTAAAGCTACAAAAGTAAAGATGAGCCCCAAACCTTGGCAGCTTCCACATAGTGTTCAGCCTCTGAGTGCATAGAAGGCAAGAGTTTGGGAGTTTCCACATAGATTTCAGAGGATGTGGGGAAATGCCTGGATAACCAGGCAGAGGTCTACTGCAGAGGTGGAGCCCTCATGGAGAAGCATTACTAGGGCAATGCAGAGGGGAAATGTAGGGATGGAGCCCCCACACAAAGTCCTCACTGGGGCACTGTCCAGTGGAATTGTGAGAAGAGGGCCACCATCCTCCAGACCCCAGAAATGTAGATCCACTGAGAGCATACATCATACACCTGTAAAAACCACAGGCACTCAACACCAGCCTGTGAAAGTAGCCAAGAGGGCTGTACCCTGCAGAGCCACAGGGGTGGAACTGCTCAAGACCTTGGGAGCCCACCCCTTGCATCAGCGTGTGCCAGATGTGAGACATGGAATCAAAGGAGATTATCTCAAAGCTTTAAGATTTAATTATTGTCCTGCTAGTTTTCAGGCTTGCATGGGGCCTGTGGCCTCTTTATTTTCCCCAAGTTCCCCCATTTGTAATGGAAGCATTTACCCAATGCTTGTACCCCCATTGTATCTTGGAAGTAACTAACTTGTTTTTTATAGTACAGGCTCATAGGTGGAAGGGACTAACCTTGTCTCAGATGAGACTTTGGATTTGGACTTTTTAGTTAATGTTAGAATGAGTTAAGAGTTTGGAGGACTATTGGGAAGGCATGACTGGTTTTGAAATGTGAGAAGGACATGAGATTTGGGAGGGGCCAGGAGGAGAATGATATGATTTGGCTCCAAGTCCCCACCCAAATCTCATATCAAATTGTAATTCCCATGTGTTAAAGAAGGGGCCTGAAGGGAGGTGATTGGATCATAGGGATAGTTTCCTCCATGCTGTCCTTGTGATAGTGAGTGAGTTCTCACAATCTCTGATGTTTAAAAGTGTGTGACAGTGGCCCCCTTGCTCTCTCTCTCTCTTTTGCTCCACCATGGTAAGACATGCTTGCTTTCCCTTTACCTTTTGCCATGATTATAAGTTTCCTGAGGCCTCCCTAGCCATGTGGGATTGTGAGTCAATTAAACCTCTTTTCTTTATAAATTACCCAGTCTCAAGTAGTTCTTTATGGCAGTGTGAAACTGGACTAATACAACTTCCTTGTTTAAAAAATTAAAAATAAAATATACCCTGAAATAATAGGTGATAAATGTCTGATCAGAGAGTGTGGTAATGAGATAATTAATATTTATTAAGCACCTATTATGTGTTGGGTACTATGTAAACCAAGATGCTATTGTGACACAGAGATTATCTGTAAGGCTCTGAAATGATCACAGGAGACCTTTAAAAGCAGAAATTCTCTTCTGGCTGGTTGCAGAAGAGGAAATCAGGGATTGGAAACATGTAAAGAATCTTAGTGCTCAACTGTTGGTCTGATGGTGGAAGGAGCCATGTGGCAAAAAAAAAAAAAAAAAAAAAAAAAAGGCAGATGGCCTCTACGAGCTAAGAAAAGCCTGCCAGGAAAGTGGTTTTCCAGTCCTACAAGCTCAAAGAAATGAATCCTCCCAAAAACCAGTAATTTGGAAAGAAGATCCTTCCAGACAAGAACTGCCATTTGATCCAAATCTTGATTTCAGCTCTGAGAGGGCTGAAGCCGAGAATCCTCTCATGCCAAACACAGACTTCTGACCAACAGAAACTGTGAGATAATAAATGCATGTTGTTTTAAACTGCTGTGTTTGTGGTAAATTGTTATGCAGCAATGTAAAATGAAAACAGCTATGTCATGCTGTGGTGATAAATAATCTCCCTGTCTCAGGAGTTAACCAGAACACAAAGTTACTTCTTACTCCAGGTCTGTCTCATGTGAATGTCCAGGGGTGAGGTGGGGTTTACTCCCAAGAATTATTCAGAACTACAGGATGAACTACATGATACAGTATGATCCTTCTGATTCTCAGGAGTCGAGGCTCTTGCAGGGTGGCACACCTTGGCCGAGAGTGGCACACATAATCCTTGACTAGAGCTAGTCACATGGCCCTGCCTAGATACAAGGCAGCAAGGGAATGTGAATGAGTAGATAGAATATTTGGTGAGCCCTCTGCATCTGTGATAGGAAGCTGAGGAAATTCTTACTATGACCTTGTGAAAACTGTATTGTCAATATATTTTAACAAATGGGCTAACTGAAACTTGGAGAGGACAGGAAACTTGCTTAGGGTCACGCTGGTGGCAGAGTCTGGATATGAACTCAGTTCTGTGTGATGCTAAAGCACATGTTCTTTTCACTAAGCCATGCTGCCCCTTCCCAGCTGAAAGGACTTCTAAAAAGACTACTACAAAGGCTAGGTCTGGAGAAGAAAATATGTGACTGAGTCAGAATTTGAAGGTTATCCCTAAACCTAGACCTTTGACTCATCTTCAAAACAGAGCACATAGTATCTCAGTCTCCCCGTCTACATGAGACTAAACCCATATTTCATCAAATCTAAGGTGCCATGGATTGTAAAATTTGCCATTATCTAATGTACCACTAAGAAAGAAAAATTGCTCCCAATTAAGCTAGGATATACAGTAATTGTAAAACACAACCTAACAGTGAAAAGATGTGCATCTCAGAATTGCTGAACTATAGTGATACCTACCCGTTCCGACTTGAAGGTATTGTAGGTGAAACTATCACAGTGGAGTCTCATCATTACAATTTAGAGAACTGGGCTGTGATTAATAAAGAGAATTATTCATTTGAGAAACTTTAGTTCCTCTCAGTACCTCATGGAAGGCATGTACCTCTACCTACTTCTGAAGGGGATTGGGGCAATTACTTAATAAACATTAAAATAAAAACATTAGACATGTAGGGATGACAATAGCAACTTAGCAACTTATATTTTACCATATGCAAATGCTATTATAAGTGCCGTAAAGACTGTAACCAATAAAACCTATGAGTTGGATACCATTATCTCCATTATAAATATGAAATATTTGAAGTACAAAGAGATCAAACAAAGACACATAGCTTGAAAAAGACAAAGTGAGGAACCAAACCCAGGAATCTGCTTTTAGAACTCAAGGTTCTAGCTGGGTGTGGTGACTCATGCCTATAATCCCAGCACTTTTGGAGGCCAAGGTGAGTGGATCACCTGCGGTCAGGAGTTTGGGACCATCCTGGCCAACATGGCAAAATCCTGTCTCTACTACACATAACAAAAATTAGCAAGGCATGGTGGCATGCACCTATAATCCCAGCTACTTGGAAGGCTGAGGCAGGAGAACTGCCTGAACCCAGGAGGTGGAGGTTGCAGTGAGCCAACATCATGCCACTGCATTTCTGCCTGGGTGATGGAGTGAGACTTTGTCTCAAAAAAATAAAAAATAAAATAACTCAAGGTTTGAACCCAACACTACAGTCTGTCAGATTTATCCCCTTTAGGACTTCTGTCAAAATCTTCCATTCATTAGAAATGTCTCTCCACCCTATTTTTGCTTTTAAATCCATACCTATTTTCAGAGCACAGCTCACACTTCCTTTTCTTTAGCAATCCTTGTTACACTCAAGTAGGTGTGAATTTTATTTTCTCCAAACCCCTGTAAAAGATTATCCTCTAATTAGGGTATAGATCATAATCTGTCTTGCACAGTACCAATGTTTAATAAGTGCCTGTGGTCAGCTGAAAAAGACCCCAAACATATTTATTCTAATCCCTGGATCTTGCGAATTACCTTATATGGCAAAAAAGGGACTTTTTAGACATGATTAAATTAAGGACCTTGATGACGTGGGGAGATTACCCTAGATTATTTAGATGTGACTTAAATGCCATCATGTGCATCCTTAGAGATGCAGAGAGATTTCACACACACACACACACAGAGAGAGAGAGAGAGAGAGAGTGAAAGAGAGAGAGAGAGATGAAGAGAAAGAGAGAGATTGAGAAGGAGAAGAACACAGAGGCAGAGACTGTGGTGATGCAGACACAAGCCAAAGAATGCTGGCAATCCCCAGAAGCTGTAAGAGGCAAGAACATATTTTTCCCTAGAGGCTGCAGAAGGAGCACAGCCTTGCTGACATGTTAATTCAGGCCCAGTTATATCCAGTTATATAAATTACTACTTCTGGCCTCCAGAACCATGAATGAATAAATTTATGTGATTTTTGAACCACATAATTTGTGGTAAATTATTATAATCATCATAGAAAACTAACACAGCATTTATTCTATACAATATTTTTAAAAATAATTTATTCAAATAAATTTTTTTTACTTTTAAACTGGTTCTTTAGGTGTATTATCTTGAATAATGTAACTATTACAAATATGTAACTTTATATTATACAATGTGGCTAATCATAACAAAAAGTTGTGATTTAATCATAGAACAACATGAAAGAAAAGAATCTATGAGTGCATATAATTTCAGTTAAACTTTTTGTCTGCAGGTAAATAAACATGATCTGATATGTCAATGTTTGTTATTGAAGTAGAAATTTCCCAAAACAAAAAATTCATCTTTGCTTTCACTGCTTCTAATAAATGGGTACACAGGTTTGCTTCAAGTTTAAGTGATTTTTATTTCTCACCAGAAATATCACTATTATTCATTTCTTCTAGTAGAAAAATAAAGTGAACAGTTTTAGAAATCCCAAAAGTATTCACCCAGAACTATTACATGAAATAAAGAAAAACAAACTAGCACTTACAGAGAAAGGCTGATACTCTTTATTCTTAAGTACCAAAATTTACTACTAAATGCTTCTGGTATTTCTTAAACCCTTAATAACTGAAATATCTTCACCTACTTTTTAAATTAAATATAAGGTCTCTGTAATTTTTTTAAAAAACAAAAAGTCATTGCATAAGACTTTGATCAATACAAAATTAATATTGCAGGTACAATGAAACTCTGGAGTTGGTTCACAATAAAAAAAGATTCAATATACTTGTAAGTACTGCCAAAATAAGCAGGAACTTACTCTTCATCAGAGCAGTCAGATTTTTCTTCTGTCTGTAAACAGAGCAAAATTCAAGACATTTCAATACTGGAGAATCTCTAATGAGTGGTTAGTAAAATACCCACCTTTCTGACTGCCACTGGATATCAAAAAATTACTCACTTCTGACTCAGTAATTACCCACCAAAAATTTAGATCAAGTGGTCCTCACGTCACCCAAATTAGTACCTGACAAGGAATGCTTTTGGCAAGGTTGGCAGCTGAGAAACAGGAAGTGAGTTGCAAAACATTATTAAAACTTGAAAATAACAGCTTTAAAGGTGTGTGATCTACCATTCAAATACTCAAAAACTATGACAGAGAGAAACATCCCAACCGGGCAGAAAAGAAGCTGGGGGGAGACAGCGTAGAAGACGAAGCACAGGAAATGTCACTCAGTCTTCACTCACCTAAAGGGCAACAACCAGTTCTCTGATGAGCCATTATCATCACTACTACCACATTTTCAAATGTGCAAAAATCTTGTAATGCATTCGGAAAGAGGTAAAAGTTCTGAATGTTTGTTTATAGCAGACTTCGAGGGTCAAACTGTGCTCTAAAAAGTACTTGCCAATGGTTAGATTACTTGTTAAGCCACATACAGTGAAGGACTCAGATTCCTTAACAGCCTGAGAAAGTACGGCAAGGGGGCTAGAATCTGACCAGGCACCTCATGTGGTTCAAATCCTTATTTTGAGGAAATATGGCAAGGATCAAAGAACTTGGCTTGTCTTTGCCTCCACGCTGAGGGTCATCTGACAGGGGATGCAGAGCTCTCAGAAAAATTGAATGGTTTCTTGATATTTTGTCTTTAAATTAGTCTAAATGAGTCACTGAGATTCAATTTTTTTGTTTGACCATTATTGTTGGTAGGATCTTTGCAGTATTCACTCACCACTCAATTCATACACCTATAATTCAAGTTGAATATTACAAATACAGGTTTTAAAGGTACAGTGACTTTTAAGTTATATTGTCATTTATTTTGGGGGAGGGTGATCCACATACAGTGCATGTGATCAAAAACAGTAATAACACTATTCATTAAGAATTGCTGTTGCCGCGGTGGAGCCAAGACGGCCGAATAGGAACAGCTCCAGTCTACAGCTCCCAGCATGAGCGACGCAGAAGACGGGTGATTTCTGCATTTCCAACTGAGGTACTGGGTTCCTCTCACTGGGGAGTGCCGGAGAGTGGGTGCAGTACAGTGGGGGCAGCACACTGTGCGTGAGCCGAAGCAGGGTGAGGAATCGCCTCATCCAGGAAGTGCAAGGAGTCAGGGAATTCCCTTTCCTAGTCAAAGAAAGGGGTGACAGACGGCACCTGGAAAATGGAGTCACTCTCACCCAAATACTGGGCTTTTCCAATAGGCTTAACAAGCGGCACACCAGGAGATTATATCCCGCACCTGGCTCAGAGGGTCTTACGCCCATGGAGCCTCGCTCATTGCTAGCACAGCAGTCTGAGATCAAACTGCAAGGCGGCAGTAAGGCTTGGGGAGGGTCGCCCGCCATTGCCCAGGTTTGAGTAGGTAAACAAAGTGGCCGGGAAGCTTGAATAGGGTGGAGCCCACCACAGCTCAAGGAGGCCTGCCTGCCTCTGCAGGCTCCACCTCTGCGGGCAGGGCACAGTCAAACAAAAGACAGCAATAACCTATGCAGACTGAAATGCCCCTGTCTGACAGCTTTGAAGAGAGCAGTGGTTCTCCCAGCATGCAGCTTGAGATATGAGAACAGGCAGACTGCCTCCTCAAGTGGGTCCCTGACCCCCGAGTAGTCTAACTGGGAGGCACCCCCAAGCAGGGGCAGACTGACACATCACACGGCCAGGTACTCCTCTAACACAAAACTTCCAGAGGAACCATCAGGCAGCAGCATTTGTGATTCACCAATATCTGCTGTTCTGCAGCCAACGCTGCTGATACCCAGGTGAACAGGGTCTGGAGCGGACCTCCAGTAAACTCCAACAGACCTGCAGCTGAAGGTCCTGACTGTTAGAAGGAAAACTAACAAACAGAAAGGACATCCACACCAAAAACCCATCTGTACATCATCATCATCAAAGACCAAAGGTAGATAAAACCACAAAGATGGGGAAAAAAACAGAGCAGAAAAACCAGAAACTCTAAAAATCAGGGCGCCTCTCCTCCTCCAAAGGAATGTAGCTCCTCACCAGCAACGGAACAAAGCTAGACGGAGAATGACTTTGACAAATTGAGAGAAGAAGGCTTCAGAAGATCAAACTACTCTGAGCTAAAGGAGGAAGTTCGAACCAATGGCAAAGAAGTTAAAAACTTTAAAAAAAAAATAGACGAATGGATAACTAGAATAACCAGTGCAGAGAAGTCCTTAAAGGACCTGATGGAGCTGAAAACTACGGCACAAGAACTATGTAACGAATGCACAAGCCTCAGTAACCGAAGCAATCAACTGGAAGAAAGTGTATCAGCGATGGAAGATGAAATGAATGAAATGAAGCGTGAAGAGAAGTTTAGAGAAAAAAGAATAAAAAGAAACGAACAAAGCCTCCAAGAAATATGGGACTATGAGAAAAGACCAAATCTACGTCTCATTGGTGTACCTGAAAGTGATGGGGAGAATGGAACCAAGTTGGAAAGCACTCTGCAGGATATTATCCAGGAGAAATTCCCCAATCTAGCAAGGCAGGCCAACATTCAAATTTAGGAAATACAGAGAACGCCACAAAGATACTCCTCAAGAAGAGCAACTCCAAGACACACAATGGTCAGATTCACCAAAGTTGAAATGAAGGAAAAAATGTTAAGGGCAGCCAGACAGAAACATCGGGTTACCCACAAAGGGAAGCCCATCAGACTAACAGCTGATCTCTCAGCAGAAACTCTACGAGCCAGAAGAGAGTGGGGGCCAATATTCAACATTCTTAAAAAAAGAATTTTCAACCCAGTATTTCATATCCAGCCAAACTAAGCTTCATAAGTTAAGGAGAAATAAAATACTTTATAGACAAGCAAATGCTGAGAGATTTTCTCAACAGGCCTGCCCTAAAAGAGCTCCTGAAGGAAGCACTAAACATGGAAAGGAACAACCAGTACCAGACACTGAAAAAACATGCCACATTGTAAAGACCATCTAGGCTAGGAAGAAACTGCATCAACTATCAAGCAAAATAACCAGCTAACATCATAATGACAGGATCAAATTCACACATAACAATACTAACCTTAAATGTAAATGGGCTAAACGCTCCAATTAAAAGGCACAGACTGGCAAATTGGATAAAGAGTCAAGACCCATCAGTGTGCTGTATTCAGGAAACCCATCTCACGTGCAGAGACGCACATAGGCTCAAAATAAAGGGATGGAGGGAGATCTACCAAGCAAATGGAAAACAAAAAAGGCAGGGGTTGCAGTCCTAGGCTTGGATAAAACAGACTTTAAACCAACAAAGATCAAAAGAGAAAAAGAAGGCCATTACATAATGGTAAAGGGATCAATTCAACAAGAAGAACTAACTATCCTAAATATATATGCACCCAATACAGGAGCACCCAGGTTCATAAAGCAAGTCCTTCGTGACCTACAAAGAGACTTAGACTCACACACAATAATAATGGGAGACTTTAACACCCCACTGTCAACATTAGACAGATCAATGAGACAGAAAGTTAACAAGGATATCCAGGAATTGAACTCAGCTCTGCACCAAGCAGGCCTAATAGACATCTACAGAACTCTCCACCCCAAAACAACAGAATATATATTCTTTTCAGCACCACACCACATCTATTCCAAAATTGACCACATAGTTGGAAGTAAAGCACTCCTCAGCAAATGTAAAAGAACAGAAATTATAACAAACTGTCTCTTAGACCACAGTGCAAACAAACTAGAACTCAGGATTAAGAAACTCACTCAAAACCGCTCAACTACATGGAAACTGAACAACTTGCTCCTGAACAATGACTGGGTACATAATGAAATGAAGGCAGAAATAAAGATGTTCTTTGAATCCAACGAGAACAAAGACACAACATACCAGAATCTCTGGGACACATTCGAAGCAGTGTGTAGAGAGAAATTTATAGCACTAAATGCCCACAAGAGAAAGCAGGAAAGATCTAAAATTGACACCCTAACATCACAATTAAAAGAACTAGAAAAGCAAGAGCAAACACATTCAAAAGCTAGCAGAAGGCAAGAAATAACTAAGATCAGAGCAGAACTGAAGGAAATACAGACACAAAAAACCCTTCAAAAAATCAATGAATCCAAGAGCTGGTTTTTTGAAAAGATCAACAAAATTGATAGACCGCTAGCAAGACTAATAAAGAAGAAAACAGAGAAGAATCAAATGGATGCAATAAAAAATGACAAAGCGGATATCACCACTGATCCCACAGAAATATAAACTACCATCAGAGAATACTATAAGCACCTCTGTGCAAATAAACTAGAAAATCTAGAAGAAATGGATAAATTCCTGGACACATACACTTTCCCAAGACTAAACCAGGAAGAAGTTGAATCTCTGAAAAGACCAATAACAGGCTCTGAAATTGAGGCAATAATTAATAGCTTACCAACCAAAAAAAGACCAGGACCAGATGGATTCACAGCCGAATTCTACCAGAGGTACAAAGAGGAGCTGGTACCATTCCTTCTGAAACTATTCCAATCAATAGAAAAAGAGGGAATCCTCCCTAACTCATTTTATGAGGCCAGCATCATCCTGATACCAAAGCCTGGCAGAGACACAACCAAAAAAGAGAATTTTAGACAAATATCTTTGATGAACATTGATGCAAAAATCCTCAATAAAATACTGGCAAACCAAATCCAGCAGCACATCAAAAAGCTTATCCACCATGATCAAGTGGGCTACATTCCTGGGATGCAAAGCTGGTTCAACATACGAAAATCAATAAATGTAATCCAGCATATAAACAGAGCCAAAGACAAAAACCACATGATTATCTCAATAGATGCAGAAAAGGCCTTTGACAAAATTCAACAACTTTCATGCTAAAAACTCAATAAATTAGGTATTGATGAGACGTATCTCAAAATAATAAGAGCTATCCATGACAAACCCACAGCCAATATCATACTGAATGGGCAAAAACTGGAAGCATTCCCTTTGAAAACTGGCACAAGACAGGGATGCCCTCTCTCACCACTCCTATTCAACATAGTGTTGGAAGTTCTGGCCAGGGCAATCGGGCAGGAGAAGCAAATAAAGGGTATTCAATTAGGAAAAGAAGAGGTCAAATTGTCCCCGTTTGCAGATGACATGATTATATATCTAGAAAATGCCATCGTCTCAACCCAAAATCTCCTTAAGCTGATAAGCAACTTCAGCAAAGTCTCAGGATACAAAATCAATGTGCAAAAATCACAAGCATTCTTATACACCAATAACAGACAAACAGAGAGCCAAATCATGAGGGAACTCCCATTCACAGTTGCTTCAAAGAGAATAAAATACCTAGGAATCCAACTTACAAGGGATGTGAAGGAACTCTTCAAGGAGAACTACAAACCACTGCTCAATGGAATAAAAGAGGATACAAACAAATGGAAGAATATTCCATGCTCTTGGGCAGGAAGAATCAATATTGTGAAAATGGCCATACTGTCCAAGGTAATTTATAGATTCAATGCCATCCCCATCAAGCTACCAATGACTTTCTTCACAGAATTGGAAAAAACTACTTTAAAGTTCATATGCAACCAAAAAAGAGCCCACACTGCCAAGTCAATCCTAAGCCAAAAGAACAAAGCTGGAGGCATCACGCTACCTGACTTCAAACTACACTACAAGGCTACAGTACCCAAAACAGCATGGTACTGGTACCAAAACAGAGATATAGACCAATGGTACAGAACAGAGCCCTCAGAAACAATGCCACATATCTACAACTATCTGATCTTTGACAAACCTGACAAAAACAAGAAATGGGGAAAGGAGTCCCTATTTAATAAATTGTGCTGGGAAAACTGGCTAGCCATATGTAGAAAGCTGAAACTGGATCCCTTCCTTACACCTTATACAAAAATTAATTCAAGATGGATTAAAGACTTACATGTTAGACCTAAAACCATAAAAACCTTAGAAGAAAACCTAGGCAATACCATTCAGGAGATAGGCATGGGCAAGGACTTCATGTCTAAAACACCAAAAGCAATGGCAACAAAAGCCAAAATTGACAAATGGGATCTAAACTAAAGAGCTTCTGCACAGCAAAAGAAACTACCATCAGAGTGAACAGGCAACCTGCAGAATGGGAGAAAATTTTTGCAACCTACTCATCTGACAAATGGCTAGTATCCAGAATCTACAATGAACTCAAACAAATTTACAAGAAAAAAACAAACAACCCCATCAAAAAGTGGGCAAAGGATATGAACAGACACTTCTCAAAAGAAGACATTTATGCAGCCAAAAAACACATGAAAAAATGCTCATCATCACTGGCCATCAGAGAAATGCAAATCAAAACCACAATGAGATACCATCTCACACCAGTTAGAATGGCTATCATTAAAAAGTCAGGAAACAACAGATCCCGGAGAGGATGTGGAGAAATAGGAACACTTTTACACTGTTGGTGGGACTGTAAACTAGTTCAACCATTGTGGAAGTCGGTGTGGCCATTCCTCAGGGATCTAGAACTAGAAATACCATTTGACCCAGCCATCCCATTACTGGGTATATACCCAAAGGATTATAAATCATGCTGCTATAAAGACACATGCACACGTATGTTTATTGTGGCACTATTCACAATAGCAAAGACTTGGAACCAACCCAAATGTCCAACAGTGATAGACTGGATTAAGAAAATGTGGCACATATACACCATGGAATACTATGCAGCCATAAAAAAGGATGTGTTCATGTCCTTTGTAGGGACATGGATGAAGCTGGAAACCATCATTGTCAGCAAACTATGGCAAGGACAAAAAACCAAACATCACGTGTTCTCACTCGTAGGTGGGAATTGAACAATGAGAACAGTTGGACACAGGAAGGGGAACATCACACACCGGGGACTGTTGTGGGGTGGGGGGAGCGGGGAGGGATAGCATTAGGAGATATACCTAATGCTAAATAATGAGTTAATGGGTGCGGCACACCAATATGGCACATGTATACATATGTAACAAACCTGCACGTTGTGCACATGTACCCTAAAACTTAAATAATAAAAAAAAAAAAGAATTGCTGTTGCCATTCATATTACAGTCAAATAGTCTTTTGTTAGAAAAGAGAATGGCTAACATCAAATTAGATCAGAAGTTGCCCAACTGTGGCCCATAGGTTAAATCCATCTAATCCGTTTGTTTACATATTGTCCATGGCTGATTTCCTTGCTACAGTGTCTGCAGAACTGCGTAGCTGTAACAGAGATCCTGTGACCCACAAAGCACAAAATATTTACTATCTCACTCTTTACAAAAAAAAATTGCTGACTGTTGTACTGGATAATGGCATGACTACTAGGTGGATTGCAGTCTATACTACAGAAACATTCTCTGGTCTCTATATCATTATTTTCTGAGACTCTCTTGACTGTATTCAAGGCCCTTCATGCTCAGGTCCCATGTCCTACTACCCTAGCATTCATTATTAAATCCTATCCAGGACTGCATTCCTCAAACACACTGCCACATTCGCACTTGAATATTGTTGCTAGGCATCAGAGATGCAATGCCTATTAAGATGTGGTTCCTGCCTATAAAGCATTTGCCATCTAGCAGCAGCTCATTACCTAGAAAACACAGTGCCTGGGACGGAGTAGGTGTCACATACATATGTACTTTATAGGTAGTTGAAATGAATTGAGCTGAGTTTTATATATATATATTATATAAAATATATATTATATAAAATATATATTATATATATATTATATAAAATATATATTATATATATATAAGAACTGTTGCAATAAGTGTGCATTATCCTCCAATCCTGGATTTCCTCCAAGTCAGATTAAAAGGTCTTCTCTATTTGCACTACAAACTTGTAGAAAAAAATTCCTTGATAAATCTTGAAAAGTTTACTTAATGACATTTTCTAGGTTCAAATCAAACAGCAAAATTAATCTGCACTAATTGAAGCATTTTACTAATTACTCTTTCTATATGGGTCTTGAATATTTTTCTTTCTTGCAGAGAGAGCTAGAGGAACATATCTCTAATAGGAATATGAGACTAATAGTCTCAGCATTAAGGATTGCTTTGTTTGGCCTTGGATAATTATTTGTGCCACGTCATAGGTTCCATTATGATATTTCTTGATATAGTATCATTATTGGTACTGCATTTTTCTCCTGAGGTGATACTTTGGGGTCCACTTATGAAATTGTATTTAAATGAAGACTAATTAATTGTAAAAGGACCTCTTGGCAAAGATTGCTCAAATTAAATAATAATTACCAAATACCCTCTTCACTTTATGCTATGTAGACTCAGCCTTCAAGTTTCACCAAGCTCTTAACAAGTCAGTCCTGACTGGTAATTACTCAATAATCTCTTCCTTCAATGGTATAAGCCTCTCAGGCTTTTTGCAATTCTTTAAAAAAAAAGGAAAGAAGAAGAAAAAGAATTTCACCTTTGATTTCCATCTAGATACATATCACCTAAAGAATGAGGGCATTTTTATCCAACAACTCATCTGAAATAGTCCAACACTGGCTGCTGTATGAAGAAAATCATCAGTGTTGCTTTCAGGAGATATTCAACAGATATGCTTACTCTAAGTTTGGCTTCAGACTTACTCTGGCACTGAGATCTGAATATTCTTATCCTACCGCGACTATTATGGAAAGTTAAAAAAAAAGTGCGTGAGTTAAGCATTAGGTAGAAAGGAGGAATGGTGACTTACAAAAATGTACAAGTTATTTTGGGTCTGTTCTAGAAGTAAAGTACTTGTTCTTAGGACAAGTGTCATAATCATTCCGTAAGTCTTCACCAAGTTTGACTGTACCTGCATGCAAAGCGATTTGCTTCCCTTCACGGCAAATTTGTGTGGCATATGCCTCACCTGTGTAAGTGTGAGTGGCATGACGGTTTAGGGAGATACAAGAAGATGATTTTCTAAATTCTTAGGAAAAAAAGGGAATCAAAGACAAAAAATCATTAAAACACACTTAAGTTGAAGCTTAAAGAAAAGTTTCATGAGAAAAGGCGGATTCGGGGTTCAGCAACAAATATTCAGCTACAATGTGTTGTTACGGACTGAATGGCCACCCCAGCCCCCTTACATTCATATGTTGAAGCCCCAAGCCCCAGTGTAATGGTATTTAGAGACGTGGCTTTTGATAGATAATTTGGTTTAGACGTCACAAGGGTAGAGCCCTTATGAGGGATTAGTGCCCTTATCAGAAAAGACACCAGAGAATGTGTCTCTATCTTCTTCTCTGCCATGTGAAAACGCAGCAAGAAGGTGGCCATCTGCCAGCCAGGACGGGTGCCCTCACCAGGACCCCACCCTGCTGAAACCCTGATCTCAAATTTGTAGCCTACAGAACTGTGAGAAAATAAATTGTTACATTGCTGTTGTCGAAGCCACTCTGACTATAATATTTGCCTGTGGTGGCCGGAGGTGACTAAGATACCTGGTAACCAGCAGATTTACAAATTATTTAGTAAAGGATATGCCTGCAGAAATGGCCTGAGTCTGATGCCATGATTAATACACAAACAGACTCTGGGTGGCTCTTCTTCTACTTATCGCCAAGATACAATCTGGCACAACAGTTTTGTTTGATAGACAGCATTGGCCTATGCTTGTCAACTAGCCAATGTGAAATAACATTATTACTGTATAATGTCGAGTTAGGCTGCATAATATTTCCATTGTATGACACACACGATGAAGAGATTTCAGAGTTCTCCACTGTTTACATAATTAGCATTACATATTTGTGAGATTAAGGTACCACTACCACCGTTATTACCATATTTCCTTCCTTCCTGGGTGCTGATACATGTGCATGTTCACTTTTGAGAATGATCAGAGAAAGCACCTCCATCTCCAAAGGCTGTGTCCCTGCAGTCCCCATAGAAGGGATTCGAACCCCTACTTTATCTTGTGGCCTTGCCAAAAATAAAATAACCAGAGCCAGCTTGAGGAATGAGAGAAGAGAACAAGAGGGAACCGGCCTGAAAGACCTGGCTGGCTCTGAGTGTAGTTTATTGCTCTACTGCTGGTTTGAAAGGATTATGTAGCCATAGGCTATCTCTAGATAGAAAGATGGTTCAGTGACATCCCTTTGGTAAATAAGTAGCTATCACTCCTCCCTCTAAACGTCATATTGAAGTAGGCTGTGTTTCCTGATTAATTCAGTTTGAATACTGCTGACTGACTGTCACTGTAGTCATATGTCACTGGTGGCAGCTCAGAGAGTCTAACCTTCTCTAACATCAGTGCACACAATTCATTTTAAAATGTGGTCTAATAGTTACTGAATACCTGCAAGGTAAAGGGAAGATGGGATGCATTTTCCCTTAAAATAGCCTGCAACCAAATTTATGAAAGCAAAGGGTAGGCACAGTAGTGTTCTTTGCAATGCAAAGGCTGTAAGTCACTTGGAAATTTCCCCAAAGAATTGTCTTCATCTTTTTCCAGAGCCTGACCAGGCTCTTGGCAATCAGCTATGTGAGGAGATACGGCACCTCCTTGAGTTTGCTTTGAGTAATTAGAAAGGGGCAAAACATAGCAAGATCTCTTGTCTTTGGAGCAGTCCAGGTTCTCGCTACAGGAAGCAGACACATGGCCAGGTCTGCACAATGCATCTCTCTTCTTTCCCTTCTGGAGGAAGAGTGGCGTGGTGGAGACCCTGGGCTTTGGAACCAGGTGGTTGAAATCATAACTCTACTATTAATTAGTTGCCTAACATAAGGAAAGCTTCTAAACGATCCTGGTCCTCAGTGTTTCATTCACCAAATGGCAACAATATCTCTTCATTATGTTTCTGTGATGAGCAAATGAAGCCTAGTATAGAAACACCTACCACCTTGTCCCTGTTCTTCGAACACACATTGGAGAGTAATGCTACTAAAAATGTGCATTGCTTTTATTCATGGCCATGTGCAAAAGAGACAAGGCTTTGACCTAATCTTGCCTCAGGCTTTGGCCTCCAACTCCAACAATAAATACACACGTCTCTGTTTACAACTCCATAAACAGGGACATGTGTTTCTGTTAACAATGCATGCTCTGGGCTGTCTCTGTGATCAATTATTTTATATCATTTTCAAATTGTTACGTGTTTAGATCTTTCCAAATAGCTGTCCCCTGAACGAAAAGGGCCTGCCTAACTATGGCATGGTCAGAAGGGTTCCCTTCAACTTATCACATCTAGAAATGCCACAGACAGAAATGCTTCCAGGCTATTTGCTAAGAAAACTAGCATAAGCTGCTTATCAGAAAATATTACATTTTCCCTGAAAGGTGAACTGTTTTGTCAGTTGCTTGGGCTGTGTGAAATTTCTTTTTTGTCATGATAGGTCACTGCACAGAAGTTAGCAGTAGACTGCCATCTCCCTGGTGGATTCCAGGGCCCTGGGCAAAATCCTGAAAAGCTAGCCTTTGCTTTTAGGACAAGTATGCAATCACTGGAATCCAAGCCCTATATAAATGTAAGTGGTATTAGTGTTCTTATAACGGTGAGATTTTTTAAAGATGTATCAGTCAACTCACCTCATGAATCCAGATTCTATATAAAGCTTGATGTCTTCTAGTTTCCTTAGCTGGCAGAATAATTTGGTAGAAAATATTCCATCCTCTTTTTGAAATACCTCACTTTAAGATTCAAATCTGAAATTTCAGACCCCAAAGGAACACAAGAAACTGAAAACCTGAGTTTCATGTCCTCTTCTATTACAGATTTGTGGTATCGGGCAGGTCATTTCAAATGTCACTGAAACTCAGTTTCCCCATCTGCAACATGTCAATGAAAGTGTTTATGTCTTGTGGTAATTATGAAACTCACAGGGAATCACTGAAGTAAACATTCTTAGGCTGGGCACAGTGAGTTATGCCTGTAATCCCAGCACATTGGGAGACTGAGGTGAGAGCATGGCTTGAGCTCCAGAGTTTGAGGCTGCAGTGAACCATGATCGCAACACAGCACTCCAGCCAGGGCAAAGTGAGGCCCTGCCTCAAAAAAAAAAAAAAAAAAAAAAAAAAATAAGATCTTATTCACTGCAAAAGCCAAGACAAATGTAAGGCATGTAGATTCCTTTTATTATAATCAAACACCTTACCACGATCCACACAATCACAATGCGAGAGGACAATCACTGCCACTTACAGCTTTTGGTTTCATCCTCAGTGTCTACAGCCCAGGCAATCAGTGTCACATTTTTATGCAAGGTGGATAATGACATAGGAGGATTGGATTCTGCCTGGTTTATGGTCTGAACTATACAAATTTGCATTTTGACCAGAGACCTGAGAGAATTTACTGTGCTTCATGAAGTTTTATGATTGAGTCTATTAAGTACAATAATATTAATAACAACAATACTAATAATTGAACATTCAAAGAAATTAAATGGCTTGCTCTAGGAAACAACAGCTAGTAAATGATCAAGATTTAATTTATACATAATTCTGTCTGGGTCTAAAGAGCATAATCCTGAGGCACGAGGCTTCATTACCTGTGTACCCTGATAAACCTTCTGAGAAAGGCAATGACCAGAAGTCATATAACATCAAACTTTTTCCTGTAACTCTCAAGAGTAAACAGAAGTGGTTTACATGTGATTCTTGTTAATGTTAAGATAGTATCCAGTCTCAGTTGGAGTGGCAGTATGAAAAGATAGAGAAATATTTTCGATTACATTTACCTTCCTTTTCCTTTGAAGATTCAAATTCTCTCATTCTCTCTCCTCTCTCCTTTTTTTTCTCTCTCTCTCCCTCCCTTCCTCCTCTCCTCACTGTCTCTCACTCTCCCTTTTCTCATTCCTTCCTCCTACCTTTACCTCACTTTCTCTTTTTCTCTTCTCCCTATGCTTCTCTTTCCATCTTCCTCTCCAACACCATCTCCCTTTCTCTCTCTGTCTGTCTAGGAGAAAGATTAACCCTAGAATAAAAACAAGAGACTTTAGGCGTCATAATCATATTTGAATACCAGCTCTACCGCCTCCCAGCTATGAGCCAGGGCATTGACTTAATTGCTCAAATTTCAGTGACCTCATATCTGCAGTAGACCTACACTCCTTCTCATGTAAAGCTATGGTGTGGATCATAAAAAAGAACATAAACAAAGTGCCCAGCAGGATGCCTGGCCTTTAGGAATGGAAATTCCTTCTCTAATCCAGACATATATCTGAACAACTGGTACTAAAGTAGCAAACTCAAATCACTCAGATGCTGTCATGTTCTAAATATAAAGGAACTTGTCAAACTGATGTATTTTCGCTGAAATGAATGAATGTTTTGACATACTGCTGAGGGAGGAAGCATTTTTCTGGATCACATGGTGTTTGGCTCCCAGTTCATGGATGCACTTTGCATGGCCTGAACGGTTCTTTTCCAGGGCTGGCCAGTGGCCAGGCTCAAGGCCTTTCACGGGCACTCAACAATCATCATACTCCAGCCTTGTGCCTTCTCCATCCCTCCCATTTCCTAATCCTTCTGACACTTTGTTTGAGGCCATCCAGCATACAGAATTCTTGGGGAGAGGAGTCCAGGATAGTGCTAGAGACGAACTTGGTTTGGTTTATTTGCAGTAACTGCTTTCAGGCATTCCCAGATTCTAAACTAATGTCCTTTCCTGAATATGTTACAAATCACCTCTATAATCAGTCTCAGTGCCCAGACTTACACAGGAATTAAACTCAACACTGCTGAAAAGCACTGCTACTTGAAGCCAAAAATAGCCCTCATGCCTCTAGTGAGGTACAGAAACCAACCCTTCAGGCTCCCACTGTCCCTCCCCACGGACATTCTCTGATTTCTTTCAAACTGTTATCTCCTTTTCCTAAAAGTAGGGTATATTTCCTGACTATGCAGAATCCCAAGCCATGTGCCTGCAAAGCACACCTGTGATTCAGAGGTACCTCTGTTCTGAAAAGGAATGCCCCAAACCATATGGGAAAGCAAAGCAAAGGAAGAATTTGCAGCCTTTTATTTTATCTTACTTTATTATTTTATTATTATTTTTGGGAAAATGGCAGATGAGTCACTTGACCCACTGTGAAGAAGCAAGATAAAGAATGAATTGTTTCTCTGACAATTACCCATGGCTCAAGTAATCACTAGGCCCAGATATAACCCTTGAGCTGTGCCGCTTTGGTTTGCTCTGAGTAAATAAATATAATCTAAAACACTTAGAGCTTACATATTCCAAAATTGTCCGCCTCTTGGATTTGCCATTACTCTTATTATTCTGAAGTGTACATATATTTCTGTTTCAAACAATGGTAATGATATACATTTTTGAATTGAAGGAAGCCTCCATAACCTGCTGTTTCTTTTTGTGGTGCATTCATCTGTAAATATACTTTAAAAACTATAAAACACTATACAAATATAAGCTATTTGACTGCACATGGTATGCATATTTTTATTTTTATGCACAACCACAATAATAATAAAAGGATTCTCAACTTGCCTGCATGCTAGCCATAGCAATAATATTTCACCAAACTCACACCTCAGCAAGGTTCATTGCATCCTTGTGAATTTGCAGACTAGACCTGGTGAACCCTTTCCTATCTGACAGACGTCACAACCCATTCACCCGAGTTGCCATATGTGGCTCCAGCTAAGAGTATCACCACACAATCATACATTTTTACAATGGGTCTATAAAACAACCATTATAATAAATGTCTGCTTAATTAATTCATTAGGACATAAAGCAATTTATTATGCTCTTATTTGCTATCATTCTCCCTGCTCAAATTTAATAATGCAAGAAGCTTTCTCTGATGCCAAACCCTAGAAATAATAAAAATACATTCATCATGGATATTGAACGCAGACACGCCTGGCAGTACTGCTGGCAGAGAGGAGGCAGTCAGATGTGGAAAAAGAAACTAGGGGATGTTTTGCACAAGCCTGGCTAGAATCGAGTCTCTACGAGAAAGGAAGGAGTCTAGTACAATGCTTGGCATGGCAACAACGAAGGTGCACAGAATAACTATTATTACAATATGCAACAAAAGGAGGAGGGAGAAGGAGAGTTGGGGTGAAAAGCTTTCACGTCAGTTAAATTCATGAGGGCTATGGAGGCTCAAATTGAAATTATCTCACTCTGTGCTGATAAATAAAGTAGCTCTGGTACCTAAATCATGACACTAACTATACATTTCGATTTTTTTAAGTAGTGATTAGGTGGATACTCTGGGGAACCTACCAGCCTTTGCAGAGATAACAGACTCAACTTAATATCAACTTAAAAAGAGACTTGAATTCTAACCAATCTCATGTAATGAATTGAAATTCTATAGCTTTCAGAAGGGGGGAAAGATAAAAAAGCGACACGGCTCCATTCTCTAACTTGCTGTCAGGAAATATAATTTGTGCTCTCGGTGATTCACCTAGCTCATATGCAGCATGCAAATTTATTTCCCTAATAATCAGACCTGGAGATTGCCCAAGAGGATTAATAGCATCATTCCTTATGACCGCCAGGATATTATGCACCTCTGACATGGAAAAATTGTGTTAGTTCTACAGAGAAAACGCAAGGATATTTGTCCTGCTAGACAATATAATAGGCTGGTGCATCATCAGATTACAATGTCATTTCAAAAACCTTGAATACAAATAATGTACAGTGAGGGAAATGTTGGAACAACCTCCCTTAATTCAGTAGCCTTGAATTCACAAGTATTTTTGTGTGTGCTATGTAGTGTATGCATAGTTTTTTTTTAAGCTTTCCAACGTTGCATGCAAAAAGGCAAGCACATTACACATTCCATGAGCTCTTGTCATTGTTTTTTGGAAAATGGATGAAAAAGACATGAGAAAAGGGCTCTTTCTATGGTTTTGGCTTATTTTTGTCCTGCCTGTATACAGCTAAAGGTAGTGTTCAGAAACAGAACTTTCACAGGTACACGTTGATTGGGGTTTATACATGGGGTGTGCTTGTTGGCATGTACACAGATAGAGGTATCTTAAGAATTTCCCTCCACTTATGTCTTTATTCAAACATAGAGTCATTCGTACCTTCAATTGTTCGATATTTGATGCTCAAAGTAAAACAATATGTTTCACAAGCATTGTTTGGGACTATATTTTATTTTACTTCTTTATGTTTTACAATCAATCGGTCAGGAATGTTCCAAAACAGTAATGTCTCCAGCTGTACTTTAGACCAAAGAACGCTGCCTTGAGACAAGACCAAATTTCATTATTATGCGCATGGGAGCAATAAGATTAGCTCCTACTGCTGCCCCTAAGGTGGAGCAGCAGGAAGAACCAATGAGATGATGCTAATGTGCATGTTAATAGTATTCTGCTAGAAGAAGTTGGGATAATTAAACATGTACCATCTCTTTAAGACAGAGCTGCACACATTTTCTTCGGATGGGTGTTTACAAGAATTCCAATTTCAGGTCATAGCCATTTCTGAGATTGCTTAAGAAAGAGATGGGAATAACTTATCTTATTCATGTATTCAAGGAACCTTATAAAATGTGCAAAACATAACAGTTTTAAGGGGCAAAACATGCATCTTATCTTGACAGAGCTGTTTTATTATGTGTACTGCTGTATACTGACCTAATATATGGAGCATTTTTAGCTAATATACCTTGCAGGAAACCAGCCTTTAATGTGATGGATTTTATGGTATCTCATTAGGGTGTGTTTATATAACCTGATACTAAACACGTTTTCAGATTCATGTTCCTTATTAAAATTGTGAGCCATATTGATTTTTAGTTGGAACAGCAACGGAGTCATTTTTACTCTTAAGAAGGGTAGCTCTGAAGTTATTCCCAGAGCACCACTAGTCTCTGTACAAAGTTGGGGACTTCCCCCTTCATTGCCTCAATTAGCATGGTCTTGATGGGACAGCCCACTATCCTCTGTTTAGAAACCTCTGATAGGTTATTATTCATAATGCAGAATTTTTAATTTCATAAGAAGTTTCTCTTTTGTTCAAGAAGGAAAAATTTCTTTTATTCTTCTGCTATTTTCCTATCACCCTTTTTTGTTTCATGGATTAGATCCAGTTAGTATCAACAGATTGGCCCTGGAGAGATAAATATATTCATATCTGAGCTTCCAGGGTTTTCCTATCAGCTAAGGCAGTATTTGTGTAAAAGTGGCAAATTTAAAAAAAAAAAAAAACAAAAGAAAGAGAAAGAAAAAAAAACACTTAACATTGCAAGTTGTGTTAAACAAAATAATGACTTTCACATGGTGAAGTCTCCGTTTTGTAAACTGATCCTGTGAGGTAACTCAGGAGTCAGCTGTAAATAGTGTCTCAGGGTATTTTCGGTGGAGTCAGGGGAAATAATGACCTAGAGGTACTGTAAATAGTTTAAATTATTGGAAGGTCTTTCTAGGAAATGTAATGTGAGAAGAGAGATGTTTTTACTCTATTGTAAAATGAATGCCCTTTGGAGGTGATCCAAATTCAGAATGCAAATATTTAGAGTAAAGGACTATCTTTTGAGAAAAGCAAATACTGTACTTTTCCTACTTGTTACAGCAAAGCTAGTTAACACAATCGAATGAGGAAGGAAAAAAGAACACACAGGCAGAAGCATGGATATGTTTATTTCACTTTTGCATTTTAACCTAAATTTGCAAGCCTTTAATATGGAGAGGGAGAAGCAGATTTTCAACAGTAACATATAGAAAACTAATAGCACGAATATTATTGCTCACGGTATTTCATTGTAATCATATTTGTAACTTTACCTATAATGCTGGAGTTGCAACTCACAAGCCTCAAGGAATCACTATATTTGGCCTAAGAAATTTTAAGTCTGAACTTGTTCTCAGAAAAGAAGACAGTTTGCCTTTATTTCGCCCCTAGCATGCTATTCATTATTAAGCATTAAAGTTGTGTCAATTACTTTCATATTGGAGTATTATCCCAGTTATTCTACCAGCTAATCAAGTCTTCTTTAAAAATGTGCCTGGCGGTGACTATGAATTGAGGTACTGAATAGAATTATTTGCACTTTTTGTTTCCTAGTTAACCATAGCAATTGGCTACATATTTTAATTCACTCCACCACCACTACTCATCACCATCATTCCCAAATAATGTAACAGGATAACTTACTCATTTATTTTAATCAATGTGAGATTGAACATTCAAAGTTACTCTTTGGCTAAATATAAGAGCCTCGTTCATGTACTAGTTTTAAATGGGGATGAACTGAGCTATCCTGAGAACAACTCTGTTGTTAGTATTAACAGCTTCACAGTTATTTGGCTTGAGGTGTAATTATTTTACCATTATTACATGCAAGGCTTTTAACAAAGCAGTCGTTCCCTCCATTTAAGCAGAGAGTTTTATAATTTATTACATCTCTTTGGTCATCAACACACTATACAAACAGTTGGCCACCAGTGACCAATTACATTAAGGTTAAGCAACATAACTTTAAATTAGAAATAAGCTAATGTATCTTCATCAAGGGCCTGCTGTGTTTTCACTGCTGTTTATGAGATGATACTAAATGTGGATATAGAGCACGCTCACTGGGACCAATTCCTTTCGGCCTCAAAATGGGAAAGTCTCGAGTGTACCCAGGTCCAAAGCTAATTAATGGGATAACATCTGCTTTAAGCATTCAGCTGGAGTAATTTCTATCAACTTCCCAGCGAAGGTCCATGGGAAACTGTCAGAGAACTAAGTATCTATCATGAGCCATATTAATCTGTGACAGGACTGCAAAAGGCACATTGCAGTCTTGGTTTTCTATTTATTTGGGGTGCTGCTATTACCAATATGAGTTTCCTCCCCTTATTGCTTTCTTCAGTGCATGAATAATTGTGGGGTCCATAAGCAAATAACCCATGATATACACATAGACCAGGGAACTGTAAATGTGTTCAAACATTCAATGTAGAGGATATAAAAGACAAGAATAAAACAGCCGTGTTCTTTCTGAAACAATCAGTTTTAGCCACAAAGACATTTATGTTGTTTTATCATAATACTTAAAAACGCAGCAGGATTTGCTAAAGAGAAATACCAGTACTGTAAAACAAGCTTCAGAAGGGATAAGCCCACTTATTTCGTGTTATTTCATGTTATCAGCTCTTGTACAACATGATTCCAGCTTTAGTAGTGACTAAATAAAGGCACCTGTCCTGTGTGGTCATTTGCATAAATCCAACCCGAATGGAGGAAAAAAGTAAATCTCTGACAACCTAAAACAACTGTGTGGAAGCAGCAAGGGTAATTCTGTTAGCAGAGGTTTTTGACTGATTCTAATTCTTTATTCACCTACTTATTTCTTTTTGTTTATATATTTATTGATTTATTTTGCAGGGGAGTGAGAGAAAGAGCTAATTTTAATTAAGAGCGCAAGAGGATGTATTTCCACATGTATGTTCTTTTAAAGTAAGCCCCTGAATTATTAGTATGCTTCCTATACAGTTATACAATCAAGCAAACAGCACCAGGCCTATGCTTCATCAATAGAAAGGGAAGGAAAAAAATACATTGTTTTTACTGGTTGAGCTGAAATTTATGCTGATGTCACTTTTTCATAATAATGAACCCAATAAATGGCATACATAAAATATGATCCTGAGGCAACAATTACAATAATGATCATTTACCTTTACCTGAAAATGGTTGTGGTCAAAGGCCAAATATCATCTCACAATGAGTATAGGGGAATACACGGTCTAAAATCCCAAATTCTCCTAAAAAGGAGTCATTCCGAGTTATGAAAATGAAATTGAGAGGAGAATAAGGGTATTTTTTAAAAATCTTAACACTTATAGAGGAAAAAAATTCAGCATTTTCCTTAGGTATTTAATAATTCTATGGAATGTTTAATATTGCTAAATTGAAATTGTGGCTTTCCCCAAGATTATGGAATAATCTTGTAGCCTACTAATAAGTTGTGTTGGTTAATTGCCAGGCTATTTTGCATATAGTTAAGTTGTGCACATAAAAATACACGTGATGAAACATGTAGTGTTTTATAACCCAGAGCAACTAACATGTTCATACCTAATGCATGCACACACACTGTAACCCAGGACAAATTGCTCGTGTTAGTTACTACCACAGGCTGGCAGGCCAGAAAATACATTTGGTGCCTAATATGCATAAGCACAGAAATATGGTCAGACTCATTACTGTAATAAAGCTATGATTTGCCAACAGGATCAGAGGAAACACACTTGAAGCAGTCTGTCCCTTCCGTTAGTTCATGTGCCATAAAGCAATAAGGTTGTAAGAAGGGTGAATCCTCAATTCAGTTGTGCTACCTTGTCTGGGTTATTTGAACCCTTATTTGCCTTAAGGGGCCCATTTGCTTGTCCTAATGTGTACACAGTGATAATGTAGCCATTTACGCAATAAGGAAGGCCTGCAAAACAGTAGTCTGCTCAGCAGTAACATGGGGTAGCAAGAGTGTGGAAAAGTGGTAACTGTTCGTCCAATTACATAATTCCGTGTTCCACGGAGGCATCTGTAAAGCCGAAAGGTGGCTTTTTAATGTCTTCAGAGTGGGTGGAATACTGGACAACAAAAATGCCAAACAGATTTCTTTCTAATGCTTTGGTGAAATTAGATCCAGTTTGATAAAATAAAATACCTTGAGTCCTCTGCTTGAAGTTTCCATATTACAGAAAGACTCTTTTTTCTGTCTTGTCTGTTTCTGTATTTTTTCTTTTTTCTTTTATTATACTTTAAGTTCTGGGATACATGTGCAGAACGTGCAGGTTTGTTACATAGGTATACACGTGCCATGATGGTTTGCTGCACCCATCAACCCGTCATCTGCATTAGGTATTTCTCCTAATGCTATCCCTCCCCTAGCCCCCCACCCCTCGACAGGCCCTGGTGTGAGATGTTCCCCTCCCTGTGTCCATGTGTTCTCATTGTTCAGCTCCCACTTAGGAGTGAGAACAAGCAGTGTTTGGTTTTCTGTTCCTGTGTTAGTTTGCTGAGAATGGTGGTTTTGAGCTCATCCATGTCCCTGCAAAGGATATGAACTCATCCTTTTGTGTGGCTGCATAGTATTCCATGGTGTATATGTGCCACATTTTCTTTATCATTGATGGGCATTTGGGTTGGTTCCAAGTCTTTGCCACTGTGAACAGTGCTGCAATAAACATACATGTGCATGTGTCTTTATAGTAGAATGATTTATAATCCTTTGGGTACATACCCAGTAATGGGATTGCTGTTTCAAATGGTTTTTCTAGTTCCAGATCTTTGAGGAATTGCCACACTGCTTTCCACAATGGTTGAACTAATTTACACTCCCACCAACAGTGTAAAAGCATTCCTATTTCTCCACATCCTCTCCAGCATCTGTTGTTTCCTGACCTCCTTTTAATGATCACCATTCTAACTGGTGTGAGATGGTATCTCATTGTGGTTTTGATTTGCATTTCTCCAATGACCAGTGATGATGAGCTTTTCCTCATGTTTGTTGGCCACATAAATGTCTTCTTTTGAAAAGTGTCTGCTCATATCTTTTGCCCATTTTTTTGATGGGGTTGTTTTTTTCTTGTAAATTTGTTTAAATTCCTTGTAGATTATGGATATTAGCCCTTTGTCAGATGGATAGATTGCAAAAATGTTCTCCCATTCTAGAGGTTGCCTGTTCACCCTGATAATAGTTTCTTTTGCTGTGCAGAAGCTCTTTAATTTAATTAGATTCCATTTGTCAATTTTGGCTTTTGTTGCAATTGCTTTTGGGGTTTTAGTCACGAAGTCTTTGCCTGTGCCTGCGTCCTGGATGGTATTGCCTAGGTTTTCTTCTAGGATTTTTAAGATTTTAGGTCTTACATTTATATCTTTAATACATCTTGAGTTAATTTTTGTATAAGGTGTAAGGAAGCCAGTTTCAGTTTTCTGCATATGGCTATCCAGTTTTCCCAACACCATTTATTAAATAGGGAATCCTTTCCCCATTGCTTGTTTTGGTCAGGTCTGTCAAAGATCAGATGGTTGTAGATGTGTGGTGTTATTTCTGAGGCCTCTATTCTGTTCCATTGGTCTATATATCTGTTTTGGTGCCACTACCATGCTGTTTTGATTACTGTAGCCTTGTAGTATAGTTTGAAGTCAGGTAGCATGATGCCTCCAGCTTTGTTCTTTTTGCTTAAAATTGTCTTGGCTATACAGGCTCTTTTTTGGTTCCATATGAAATTTAAAGTAGTTTTTTCCAATTCTGTGAAGAAAGTCAATGATAGCTTGATGGGGATAGCACTGAATCTATAAATTACTTTGGGCAGTATGGCCATTTTCACGATATTGATTCTTCCTATCCATGAGCATGGAATGTTTTTCCATTTGTTTGTGTCCTCTCTTATTTCCTCAAGCAGTGGTTTGTGGTTCTCCTTGAAGAGGTCCTTCACATCCCTTGTACAGTTGTATTTCTAGGTATTTCATTCTTTTTGTAACAGTTGTGAATGGGAGTTTACTCATGATTTGGCTGTCTCTCTATTATTGGTGTATAGGAATGCTCGTGATTTTTGCATATTGATTTTGTATCCTGAGACTTTGTTGACTGCTTATCAGCTTAAGGAGATTTTGGGCTGAGATGCTGGGCTTTTCTAAATATAGAATCACGTCGTCTGCAAACAGGGACAATTTGCCTTCCTCTCTTCCTATCTGAATACCCTTTATTTCCTTCTCTTGCCTGATTGCCCCGCCCAGAGCTTCTAATATACTATGTTGAATAGGAGTGGCGAGAGATGGCATCCTTGTCTTCTGTCGGTTTTCAAAGGGAATGCTTCCTGCTTTTGCCCATTCAGTGTGATATTGGCTGTGGGTTTGTCATAAATAGCTCCTATTATTTTGAGATACATTCCATCAATATCTAGTTTATTGAGTTTTTTAAAAATTATGGAATTTACATTGGGTAAAGGCAGTTTCCACATTAGAGGGAAGGCACTGAGGCATCATTTCCCTCTGAGAGGGGACATCCAAAAATCACACAAGAAAAGTCTGAGCGAAAAGATGAAGGTAGGGTGGTCCCAAATGCCCCATGGTATCCTCCAAAGCCCTCAATCGTCTTATAGCCTTGTCCTCATTATCACAGAAATCACATGGGCTTGTGAAGGGGCTTATCTGACATTAGAGAGCTAGAGAGCTAACATTCGAGTTTGAGGCACACTGGCAGAAACTTTGAGATCATATGAGGCACGTTTTATACCTATTTCTTTTCTGTTTCTTACACCAACTTTTAATGAAAGCTAGTTTTGCATTTTTGCATACCCACGTAGACAGGCTGGAAATCTGGTAATGGATTATAAAGAAAAGAATAGCTGAATTAAATATTCATTAAGCACATAACTTTCCCAAGGTTTGGAAGACCCTCTACTCACCAACTAGAAAAAACAACCCAGAAACTTGCACATTCTACTTCCAGCATTATTTACCATATTTTCCTATGATACATATCCTGAATGCCAAAGAGACATTGTTGCTCTAGCCAACCGCAATTATCTGCTTCCTGGAACACTGTGTTGAGAATGATTCTGAGGTCTCAATGTGAATGAAAAGAGGAAAATGGCAACATGTATTTCAGTTCTCTCAGCCACATGTGCCAATCTCCATGTTCCAGATGTCGCTGACAGCATGCCTGCCCTCTCTTGCCTGAGACACCCCATGCCTCATTTTTCAAGATACCTCTCCACAGAACACTTTCAGACCTTCGTCATCCTTATGTACTAAGAACTTTTGGTGAGGATATATAAAGAATTGTTATGTATTATGTACGTTGTATAGGAGGTAGATTTCATACATATTACTAAATATGAATACATTTTTAGTCATGCGCCTTTACATGGAAATTAGAATATGTAGAAATACTTTCATGTTGATGTTGATTCTTTATGGGAAATGGGCATGCCATAGTGTAAGTAAAACAGAGATACCTATAGCTAATAAAGAGCACAACCTAATAGGTTGGCCTAATAGAAAAATGGAGGACAGCTTTCTGGTAGTGCGGTTTGCTGGGATTCTGAATATTTGCATTCTGCTACTGTTAATTCCCACTGGCCTTCTGTGGTGTCTCGGGTGCTAGCAAAATCACTATTATGGGTTGACACATCATTTCCAGGATGCCCCAACTTGAACACAAACAAACTACTAGGCAGGGCTCACATACTAGATCAATAACCTTATTGCCTATTATCAAATCAGCTACTAACTTCTAAAGAGAGAGTAGAAACCTAAGGCAATTGTAGGATTTCTTAAAATATATCATTTTAAAGAGATGTGACATAGATTGAGTAGTAATATTAGCGACAAAGGATTATGCTGAGAAAGACCCCTCCAGATAGAGCTGGCTGTCAGGGCTCTAAAATCCTGAGAATAAGCGATGTCAAATCAAATCAACAAACATTTTTTACATACCTCCTAGATGCTCTGGGATCTATTGCATAACACATAGACACAGCATGAGCAGATGTTTGAGGGTCACAGATAAAATGGCTTAGTATGAGAGATCTCACTTTAAAAGACCACTTGTCTTTGTTATTACTCATAATATTTTAACAAAAACGATGATTTTTACTCTGTATCAGAAGATATAGAACTACAGCTAGCATTTTTCTATTTATATAGCTTTAAGAGCTTCATCACATTTTCAGAATTCAACATTTTTTCTCATGTGAGCACTTTCGATGTCATGTTTTAACACTGAAATCTGCCCACCCACTTTCACCTCCACTACCAATACTCTGCTTATAAGCATAGTCTCTGCCCTTGAAGTTCTTATGCTTTCATGGAAGAAGCAAGATGAGACAAAATGAAGAGAACACCTGCCAATATTCAAAATCATAAACATCTCAGTACAGTAGCAAAATAAATCGCACATATCATCATATGCCAGAGCTCCAAAGAGAAAGAGCTAAAGCCCACCTCAGCTATGGGCAGACAGGAACAGGCCTGAGACATGTTTTGCAAAGTAGCTTAGGGCTGGTCCTGACTTTATCTTCAGAATGGAGACTGTACCTCATCCTGGGAAGAAAGCCTCCTTCAATAGAAACAAACACCAGTCTGGGGCCATTATTTGTGGCCACTTTGATCATTGGTGTACTCTTTTCCAGATTGGCCCCTTTAAACTTGAGGTTCCCAGGGGAAGCCCTGGTACAGGGAAACAAAAATAGCTATTGATGTTTAGTTTAAAGGGATTTCTGTATTTTGGCTTTCCTTGTCTTTTTTTCCCCATGTACCTCTTTCCTCCCGCCCTGACTGCAGCCTCCCTGAGGTCTCCCTGGATTTGATCTACTGACCTGGCTGCTGAGGCTGGATTTGAAATCTTCTGAAGGGTTCTTAACATGCCAGAGTTAACAGGCCTGCCTGGGCCAGCTGCTGTCTTGGAGCTGCACAAACTCCACGGATTGTTTGGCAATAAAAATCAGCTATAAAAGTGTGAAAAATACCAGAGACCCAAATGGAAGAGGGAAGAGACAGGGGAATGGTCCTTACACCCTTTTAGTGGACATCTGATTTATTTTTTAAATGGAAAAGCCACTTTTATAGCTACTGTAGTTCAATTATCTCTAATTTTACACATTTTATGCAAATTATCAGCATCTTAATTGCAAATGAGAAGGAAACTTTTTTTTTAAAGCAGAACAACAAGGTATAATTTCGTATTTTCTTTTCAATTTTTAATCCTATGCTTGGTTCAGCACCATTAAACTTTTAAAACTCTTTTTACACAGTTGTTTAAAATTATGTGTAATTTAAAGCACACTCACATGTTCACAAACACCCATAGCCTTAAACAAGTAGCTAATTTTGTTCCCAGATCTCATTCTCCCTTTTGGAGAAGATACTTTGATGTTCTTCCACATACAATTTCAAAAGACCACAAGGGGATATACTCAAAAGATTTCACAAGGAACTTGGTGTCATGTCTTACAAATTCAGCACATTGGAACAGAGTCTAAGCATCAAGAAACCCAGTTGCAAGGTCTGGTTTTTTGTTTATTTGTTTTTGTTTTGTTTTTTTGCCAAAGTGCCCAGATTTCTAGCAGCAGTATGCTGGTAGACACTCGACAACTGACCCTCGGTGTGGAGATGCAGGGGGCATAATTTGTATATGATGTTTGCCGATTTCCATGGTGTAAACACTCATGCCATGGCTGAGTTCAAGCTGCCAAGGCTGTATCATTCAATGCGAAAGTGAAAAAGATGTGCTGAATCAGCTGGCGAGCTGAGCCCCTGTGGAGCCAGATCTAGCACAACTCTACTCCCAGAAATTCAGACATGCTTTGAGGATTTCAACTAACTTTACTCTGATTTGGGGTAACCAGAGATAAAAAGCCAATAGAATACAAATTTCCCATATTGAGTAAAAATTTAAGATTTTATAGACTGACAAAGGAAGTTTAGCATAATACTTACACATCTAGAATCAGGAGTTCTACTGAAGAATCCAGCAATTGCCAGCCACATAACCTGTGCTAATTCTTCATCATAGAGTCGGCTTCCTTATGTTTAAAATAGTAATAAAGTTTGCTCTGCTGTGAGCTTATCTTCTAATAGTGTGTCCGGAATTGGCGGGTTCTTGGTCTCACTGACTTCAAGAGGCTCGGGCGGCGCGTAGCCCACGGCGGGGAGGAGGCTCGGGCATGGCGGGCTGCAGGTCCCGAGCCCTGCCCTGCGGGGAGGCAGCTGACGCCCAGCGAGAATTCGAGCGCCGCGCGCGAGGGCCGGCACTGCTGGGGAACCCCGCGCACCCTTCGCAACTGCTGGCCCGGGTGCTAAGCCCCTCACTCCCCGGGGCCAGCGGCGCCGGCCAGCCGCTCCGAGGGCGGGGCCCGCCGAGCCCGCGCTCACCCGGAACTTGCGCTAGCCCGCGAGCGCCGCGCGCAGCCGCGGTTCCTACCCGCGCCTCTCCCTCCACACCTCCTCGCAAGCAGAGGGAGCCGGCTCCGGCCTCTCTGTCTCCCAGAGAGGGGCTCCCACAGTGCAGGGGCGGGCTGAAGGGCTCCTCACCGGCCAGAGTGGCACAGAGTGGCCTCGAGGCCGAGGAGGGACCGAGAGCGAGCGAGGGCTGCTAGCATATTGCCACTTCTCAATAGCAAAAGAGCTTGTAGGTGAGCACTTGGTACATTGAAAGGATGTGCAAATAAAAGCAAAATGTCTTCCTGGTTTATTCAACAATTATTGGTTTAGTCAACAAAATGTCACTATAGGAGATACAAAGATGTATATATCACAATACGTGAGTTATTTTTCAATAGATTATAATTAGTGATTTTCTGAAAAAATTCCACCTTGGCCATTTGTGGGAAACATAAGTATTTTTCTGTGTCCTTAATCTTGAAAAAAATCAGTCAGGAAATTAGGAAATGAGGAAAAAGGGTTATCACTCTGATATGGATTAAAGTTTAATTTTAATATGTGCTAATTTCTCATGAAAAGAACAAAAAGAGCAGAATTGCCATAATTAATACTCCCTGGGAAGAATGAGTAGTGCCCACAAAAGAATTCAAAGATGGTGATGACATTAAGTGAGCTCCAAGCACTTATCACATCCACCCCTCACTACAAACAATATTCCGCTGGAACATTGCTCAATGGCCCACTCAAACAGTTCATAGTCCCAACACTTCCCAGTAGAGATTCTCCTTTTTTTTTCCCAATCATATTTCATCCTAGCACATCAAGCAAAGGAAACAGTCATTTACCTCCAACAAAATCTAGACTCCTCTGGAAACAGAAGCAAATGAGAACAGAAATAAAGACCCTTGTGTTAGCATTTCTCATTAGACTCTCTGCGTAACAGTAACCTGGCTTGCTCATACTAATGTAGGACTCGGGGCAGCTGGTCTAAGACTTATTTGCAGAAAGGAAAATGAAGAGTACATATGAGTGCCTGACTTTTACTACTTCTCTTTTCTCCTTCCCCTTTGTGACTTGGTGCTGGTTTGCAATTTGTGGTTTTTTTGTTGTTGTTGTTTTGTTTTTTTTGTTTGTTTGTTTGTTTTTTTTTTTTGAGACGGAGTCTCGCTCTGTCGCCCAGGCTGGAGTGCAGTGGCGGGATCTCGGCTCACTGCAAGCTCCGCCTCCCGGGTTCACGCCATTCTCCTGCCTCAGCCTCCCAAGTAGCTGGGACTACAGGCACCCGCCACTACGCCCGGCTAATTTTTTGTATTTTTTTTTTAGTAGAGACGGGGTTTCACCGTTTTAGCCGGGATGGTCTCGATCTCCTGACCTCGTGATCCGCCCGCCTCGGCCTCCCAAAGTGCTGGGATTACAGGCGTGAGCCACCGCGCCCTGCCGCAATTTGTGTTTTTACCACTGTAGTTAATTCTGAGACACAGTTGTCAATTCATAGCCTCCTTAGTAATGGAAGTGCTTCTAAATAAAATTGCGTAAAGCTTAACACTTTGATGGAGAGAATTCCTACCAGTCCTTTCATCCTGTATTTAGCTGGTTACCCTTCACTGAAGTTAATTTGTGGCATAATTAATGAAATAAGCTTCTCTTCTGACTTGCTTAAATAGTTATGCCAGGTGACTTGGAAAGTATCTTTCTATTTACAAAGAAGCACTGCTCCCTTAAAGGTCTGGGACCTTTCTGCATAACCCCTGGCAGCCAAAATATTAAACCTTGAGCACGTGACTGAGACCCGACAGGCTGAACAATACACATGCCTCCTAATGCATGTCAACAATTTTACTATCTGGTACAAATGGAAACTTGCTGAATTTATTCCCTAAAATGCTTTTTATGCTTTTCTTGGTTCTTGCTTAGTGGTAATGTATTTAAATGTCTGGAAGAAATATTCAAAAAAATGAAACACATAACTTTAGTTGAGATGCCTACATTTCAAACCAAATACTGGCAGATCAGTGAGTATCTGGGCTAATACTATCCTTATTTGATTAGGATAATCCAGCGAGACACTGACTCATGCCTTCAGATACTGCCTTTTAACCAATCAATATTTTTAGGGTTATGGTTTTCAGAAGGCAGGTGATAGTTTTGGAGATGATAACATCCCAAGCTGCTGCTGACATTGAGATGCATATTTAACATGTTCCTGGGATGACAGAATACAGCAGTGTTGGAATCTCCCCCTAGAAATACACATGCACACACACATACACACACACACACACACACACACACACACAGCCACTAACCTTTAAATTCTTGAAGCCCCAGTACAGATTTAGCAAATTGCCTCTTATTAATGTCAATGAACATTTGAAAATGTAAGAAGAATTGGGACTGAATACTTTTCCCTTGGATGGTCCTGTCTTTTCAGCGTCGAGAAACTCCTGAGAAGGAAAGGGAAGAAGCAGCTCTCCACTCAAAGATCAATACTGGGGACAGGAGAAGGGGACAGTGAGTATAGCTAAAGCAATGACCTTTATCAGCACATGTCACTACCTACACAGAGCGGCAGTTCACATGAGAACAGGGGAAGGTGGGAAAACAACGGGAAGATATTAGACTTGGATTTTGTAGAATGCCATTAAAATATATCTATTTTAATTTCACATGACTAAAATTATCAGCTGGCTTTGCATTAATTTTGCCTTGTCTGAAATTAGTTGTCAGACTTCTGTTTATAGCCTAATTACCTTTTTCCTGAAAAAAAAAGGAGTTAAAAGTAATAACAATAAATTTGTAATGCAAAAGCTGCAAGTTTACATATTAGGACAGGTTAGGGATGGTTCTAGGAACAGGATTTGGAAATTGTTTAAACAAATGTGAACAGCTTTCTATTTTTCTGAAGACTAGAATTTTCCTAGTTCTCTCTGTATCATCCAGTGACATGATTATTTCTTGTGACCACAGACACTTGAATGTGAGTAGTGAACAGGTAGCTGCAGTTTGGTGTCATCTATTTTATTTAGCTCTTTTATCAAACCAGCTAGGTAATTAAAGGTTCATACTCAGGGCCACAAATTGGCAAATATTTTTGTTGCAGGCCAGATAGCAAATACTTTTGTCTTTTGGTCCATATAATTTCCATCACAGCTACTCAACCCTGCCATGTGTGCAAAAACAGCTACAGATGATGTGCAAACAAATGAGTGTGACTATGTTCTGATAAAGCTTTATTTACAAAAACAGGCAGTGGGGTAGATTTGGCTCACAGGCCATCATTTGTCAACCCCTGCTCAGGACAATTCAACCAACGGACTGTGGAAAGAAAGTAATGTATGCCCAGCCACAGCAGAGAGTAAGTGCTCAACAAATATATTTTGAATAAAAATTAGTATTAATTAAACTAAAGCACACACACACACACATTTTACTCAACACTAGAAAAATGAAGCTACCTCGAAATCAGAATCTATGATTTAAAAAAATTAGTGACTTCTTGGAATCAACAAAACTAAGTAGCAAATGAACATGAAGGAGACACAGATTTAGCAAACTGGCTCTCATTAATGTCAATGAGCATTTAAAGCTAATGTTCATGGAAGCTAAGTAAAGGCAAACTGCTCTTCACAATCAACTGGCCGCAAAGGATGCCACTATATTATACAATACCATATAAAAACTGAGATTTACAGTTATGCCCTTCTGCCATCAAAATAAGAGAATGTTGGAGAAAATGTTGGCTACGTCAGGGAGATGTGAAATGTTTTTTGTTGGTTGGTTGGTTGATTGGTTTTTTGAGATGGAGTCTTGCTCTGTTGCCCAGGCTGGAGTGCAGTGGCGCAATTTGGGCTCACCACAACCTCTGCCTCATGGGTTCAAGCGATTCTCCTGCTTCAGCCTCCTAAGTAGCTGGGACTACAGGTACGTGCCACTATGCCCAGCTAATTTTTTTATTTTTATTTTTAGTAGAGACGGAGTTTCACTATGTTGGCCAGGCTGGTCTCAAACTGACCTCATGATCTGCCCACCTCGGCCTCCCAAAGTGCTGGGATTACAGGCATGAACCATCGCACCTGGCCCAAAATGTATTTATTTTTTTAAGGTACACATTGAAATGAGAAGTTTTAAAATAATTATCTCTCTTGAAAATATGAGCTTTATTTATCTCATAAATAAGCTTCAGATTTGAGGGTAACATTCTGGATCTCGGTCCAAGCACTGCTTCTTGCCCTATAGCCAGAATCTTCTCATCCAGTGACAAGGGCAGGGCCAGATAATCCATGGTACACAGACCCTGATTCTAAAATTCAGTGAGTCCGATGCTAGCTTCCACTGTCTGCTTTTTAGTTAGAGAATTCCTGACTTTTTCTATTATGTTTATTACCTAAAGGTGAAGTGTTGGATTGCTTGTTTTTTTCCTCCCCTACTAAGCAGGTTTTCACTCCACTTCCCACATCCCACCCCAGACCTCTCACAAAAAGAGTCTCATCTGATATGTGAATGCAGCTTATCTCCCCATAGGTAGCCAGGAACAGGGTGCACAGTCAAGGCAACCCCAAAAATGGCCTCTCTCCCGGCCGCGCCTGCAAAGTCGTCCTGAGCGTCCTGAACGTTCCTCAGCTGGAGGGGCTTTTCCCTACTCAGTGTCTGGACCATTGCCAAGAAGATCTGTCCAGCTGTAAGCCTGATTTTATATAGTTATTTTCACTTATTTTTTATTTTGCAAAATGTAAACGAATCTGTTTAGCTAGGAAATCACGTCCCTTGAAAGTGATTATAACCTAATTTGACATGCAGTATTTGTATACTTATTCTAGTGTTATGATGCATTTACTGTGTTTACATAAATACAGATTTCTGTATAATTACCACAAGATAATGTAAAGAGTTAATCATATGAAATCCCCCAAAATCTCATTTGAGTGATTTTTTTTTTTTAATTTGAAAGTAAATTTTCCTTTAGAAACAAATTGGGCCCATTTCCAAAATATTCTATACATCTTCTTTGAGAGGCTCACAAAAACATCTACTTTATCCATTCTTACTGATCATTAATTGATATGGTCTAATTGCCCTTACACCTAATACGTGCCAAATAGCAGCAAAGATAGCATAGACATGAGTCTTGCCTTCAAGGGTGTTACATGTAAACAAGTCTGGAAGGGCTTCATGGGGAAAGGTGGAACTCTGCCTTGAACTTATCGGCTGATCTTTGATAATCACTATGGTTCCTTCATGATCTATACAATGAAAACTGAATGTAAGAAAAGATTTTTATAGAAGAAATATCAAAAAGAGAGGCAACTAGCATGAAGGAAGAACTATACAGATTTTAAAACTTACCTCTTTTTATTTTATTGACAAATGAAAGAATTTCCCTCAAATTGGAATACTTTACTAAAACTGGGAAGGAGTAATCACATAAAGAACAACCCAATAGTTCTATACTCATACACCAACTGAAGCTATACTAGTAGATAGCAATATACAAGTATATCAATATACTACTTTTTTATCTTTCTGAAGGTAAATCAGTGTTTCTCTCTGCACTTATCTGCTTCCATTCATTCAGTTTTTTGTTTGTTTTTGTGACAGAGTCTTGCTCTGTTGTTCAGACTGGCATGCAGTGGCACAATCTCGGCTCACTGCAAACTCCCCCTCCTGGGTTCAAGTGATTCTTGTGTCTCAGCCTCCCCAGTAGCTGGGATTACAGGCATTTGCCACCACACCCGGCTGATTTTTGTATTTTCAGTAGAGACTGGGTTTCACCATGTTGCCTAGGCTGGTCTCAAACTCCTGACCTCAAGTGATCTGCCCACCCCTTAGCCTCCCAAAGTGCTGGGATTACGGGCATGAGCCACTTTGCCCGGCCTCATTCTGGTTTTGTTGTGTGCTTTGTTCTGTCTTGGAATATTTGAGGGTTAAGAAATTAGGTCAAAAGTCTGCCAGCGTACACCAAGCTGTGTGTATAGTGAAAGGAGGGCTGGCAAAATGTCTACCACGGCATCTGCTTTAGAAAGGTGAAGCTATCACTGCAGGTGTACACATCACTAATGCCATCCTTTCTTATCACTGGGTGCTGGAAACTCAGGTAAACCAGGGAGGAGAAAGTATCTTCATTTCTCCCAAGAGTGTTATTTCTCCATCATCATGTTCAAAGCCTTCTCTCAATTCTTTGAGTTCTTCTCTTTATCTTGTTTCCTAAAAGAAAAATGACATTTAGACATAGCTATGAAGTAATGTCCCCAGTAAGACAGATTTTTAAATGAATGAATTCCAAACAATTTCTTTTTAAAAATCATCAGAACAAAAGACAGATATTCAGAAATAACATGGGTTACAAGAATTGCTTATGGTCTTAAAAAAAACAAAGTCACTATTTGTTACTAATATTCATGACTATCATTTAATACTCTATACGTTTCCATGAAATCTAATTCAAGTCAATACTTCAATGACTTGTTTTCAATCAATGTACACTGACTAAAGTACCTTAGCATGTCCAGTGGTTCACAAGTTCATTTCTTCATATCAAAAGAAGGAATAAAAAGTACCCATCATTTGTCAGTGACATCCTGTAGAACTAAAATAGTGGTATGATACCACCATTTGTAGAAGTATTAGTTATTTCTACAACTAAATGAATTTTAACCATCAATTAGGGAATACTTAAAAGGTAACACCCTGCAGGTAAGCTGACTAAACATGTATACCCTACTTTCTGTTTCAAGCCCAAGTTCCACTTTGTTCTTCCAATCTAGATTCAGGATAGGGTCATCATGGTGAAGAATTCTAATTATGTGATTTCGATCCTAGTTCTTCTACTCAGTCCCGTGGTCCTTTGAGCCAGTTGTCAAACCTTCCTGTGCTTTAGTTTCACTGACTGCAAAATTGGAATAATAAACAGTTCCCATTTTTTGTAAGGGTTTATGTAAGTTATTCCCAGAGGACACATAGAGCATTGCCTGGCACATGGTAAAATCACAAGAAATGCTTGCTAGTTGTACTGGAAGCACATGAGCCTTGGATGGCCTTGATTTACACTCACCACTATATTTTCCTCATTTATTTATTCAGTCTATTTCCTAAATTCTAATCAATGTCAATGGGAAATTAAATTAATGATAAATTATCCATTTAAGTGTATGTGTTCTCCTCCTACCTCCATTATCTCCATTACATTTTTGTCTTCCATTAATGTGGCTAATGGTGAAGTGACTATGTTCATGACTACCTTATTTATCTGCCTATTTGATGTTCCTAGTGGGAGACACTAGACACTAAGAATGACACTAACTATAATACCAATAGTATAGGAAACTGCCTGATTACAAAGTTTCCTTTTATTGCTTCCCTCTCATCTTCAGCCTACTTTCCTTTCTAACTGACCCAACTAACCCAACCCAGGCTACCAAAGATGAGCTCATGTGAAATGCAAAATGTCCAAGGTCCACCCTTGCTCCGCTTTTGCCAATCAGTGCTTATAAAACTCCTAGGGCAAGTTTCCTTATTTTTGACATGAGTTCTTTGTCATAATCATCTCAGGAAAAGGAATAATTTCTCCTGCTGCATCTATAGCATTTTCACAGTGTTACATCCAAACTGACTTGATACAGTCTCAAGGGGATGACAGGATGTTTCTGTGGAAAGTCTTCTCAGAGGTGGGGATTTTGTTAGAGAGCCACATGCCCCACTTTTGAGGCAATTACCCCAGTTTTCACATTCTCTCTCTCCTGTGTTTCAGAGAACAGATCGAACGTTCTCTTCCTCCAGGTCCCTGTTGATTGCCTGAACTGTGAGAGTGCTGCTTGAAATGACAAGGGAATGGGGTAGAATTGGAGTCATCCAAATAAAAAACATGTGGTAGGAGGCTCACTATTCAATAATACATATTCTATGAGGCCTCCCTGAGGGTCGTCAGGTTTTCAGCAGAATATTAGTTGGTTACTTAACACTCTCTATTACCTTCACTTAAAGACTTTAAATCAGGAAGCTTTGCTTAATTTTACTAAATAAGATACCAGAAAATGGAATCCCCCTTATTTTCAATTGATAGGATGAGGAAAACTCTCCTACAACAATGCTCTTTCTACTCTGGAAGGAGATGCTGTATCATGAATGTGCATGTTTGGTCTGCTTAGTAAAGTATTCATAGAATCATATAAAGAACATACTCTTCAGGTTTTTCAGTTGGCAGACATGAGAAATAGTTTTATTTTTGTTTTGTTTTAATTTTCTCTGATCTCTAAAATGTATCATTTTGCATGTGAGAAACCCAAACAAAAGACAAAAATATCAGAAGTGTCTTGCTTCAAATTATATTGGTTTGTAAATAAGTTTAGGATGGTTTATTGAAAACAGGATTAAAATTTCTCTGTCTCACCTACTGCCAACACAACTTGCTTCTGCTGTGGCACATCTGAAGGAAAAAATAAATGTTAGATGTGAAGTTTATAAAAAATGACACGGAGAAAAACAATGCTCTTAATAAATAATATATTATTATAAGAGAAACAGAGTGATTGAGTAATGGCACTCTAATGATTTTTCCCCAACAGCTAGCACACCTGTTCTGGCATTGTTTTTGTACCGATTTGTTTTCTTTGCTCAGCAGAACTACTTACTGTGAGAACAGTCGTCATGAAGTCGTTTACAAAGGTGACTAAACTACCTTCTGCTAGGGTGTCAAACTGCCCCAAATTGGAAGATCAAATAAAATTCTGAATATGATGCCTGGGTGTTGGAGTGAGCACGTGTTGTGAAACACTACTGAATGGGGAGCTCAGACTGTCTTTGAGAAATCTTTACCAAGGTCCCAAGGGCCATTTTACAGATTGCCTTCCTAAATTTTACAGTGTAAACAGCCCAGACTGGAATGAATCAACATGTGTAAAGAACTGTGAGGCAGCTCCTCTCTCTCCCTGGATCTCAACGATTGTTACAAAGATGAAGGTTCCAGTAATTCCTGCAGCTCTGAATTGTCATTTGACCTATGCCAAATGTCATCAGTTTCTGGATTACCATTTATTTCTATCACATGAAAACAAATCCACTGTCTTTATCATAGAGATTAAATATAGGCAAGAGATATAAACAGAGTTGGAAATGTATAAAGGAACAGTGATTAATATTAAAAACAATTTTGGGTATTATTTGGTAAAACATCAGTACTAATAAGTATATAAGAGCAGGTTTGGGGGTTGTAAATGCATTTCTTATACTTGTTATCTAATCTATATGCCATAATCGAATGTATATTGTCATCTTGATGCCATTCATCCTTGAAGCACTGACATTTGCTATTCTGGAAAAGGCCATTTCACAGAGTTCTCTATTATAGTGCCTGAACTTCTGTTTCTGAATGAGATTCAATGGGATTTCTAGAGGAGGGGGAATAGAAGAACACCCATTTCTACTTTTCTGTCTTCAAAGTTAAGACGTAGCAATGATTACACATTCTTTTTAAGGGAATAGGCTCAAATTTAAGGCAATGGAAATCAGTTGTAAAGAGTAGTCAATGATAATCTGTAATCTCAATTCCTGTTCAAAAACCACTTAGCATAATTTGGCCTACATTTACTAAGCAAAAATTAGACACTGACCAGAATCAGAGGGAGAAACTAGTAGTGTAGGGGTTGACACTGTGGAATGGTATTGAATGGGTCATTCTGATTTGCCAGGCCTTCTCACAACAGTGTCAAGGCCTTGGAGTCACAAGACACTGAGTTCTTATACAGCCTTAGCTGTGACAGTATCTTCTGAAACTTCTTTCGGCTATATCTTGAGAGGTGAGTCAAGTGTCTATTTGGAGGCAAGACCTTAGTTGTGTGTTTATTTTGTGTCTTGTAGTTTGAGTTAGGAAAAATGTCAGAACAAACACAATGGCATTTGCAAATGAGTTAGCTGGTTTGTGGATGCTTTGCCCGGCATGGAATGTCTATGTACATTCATTCTTAGTCTCAGGAGCTGTACTTGAAGCGTCTGCAAATGGTAAATTACCATCTGATGTGTAACACCACGGTTTATCATCTTACACTTGATTAAGTCACACAGGATATTGTTTATAATAAGCTACAGATCTGTGTGGTTTAATTGGATTACCTTGTAAAGCACTTAGGTCAGGGTTTGTTGCATAGTAAGCTCTCAATAAAATTAGACTCTGGGTAATTGTCATGGAACTATCTTAGAGAAAAATGGCTTTAAAAGGCCATCACATCCAGCCTCCTGCCTCTGTGTGGTAAGTATCATACAGTGAATTACTTTCTCCAACTCTTCCTTCTCTTATCTTATACATTTACATGTCTATCCTGGCTTGGCCATATGACTTTCTTTGGTCAATGGGACATTACAGGAATGTTGGAGAGCAGAGCTGAAATATGCTTGTGGAATTGGCCTGCTATCTTGCACTTCTACCATTGCCATGAGAAGATATTCACCAGATAGTCACTCTCCCTTCAGCTTAGGCCTCAGAATGCATATGGCTGTCCCAGCCACCTCATGCACACCATTTTTGTGGCAATGGCTGATAGATATGTAAATATAAACTATTATTTGCCATTAATGTGTGAGGCATCCAAAACCCTAAAGGGTAAGTGTATTAATTTTCTAGAGCTGCCATAACAAAGTATCATCCACTGAAGGGCTTAAGCAATATAAATTTATTTTCTCACAATTGTGCAGTCTAGAAGGCCAAGATCAAAGTATTGGAAGGGTTGGTTTGTTCTGAGGTCCATGTGGTAAAGATCTATCCCAGGAAACTCTCCTTGACTTACAGATAGTTATCTTCTCTCTGTGCCTTCAAAAGGTCCTCCCTCCCTGCATTTATCTGTGTCCTGATTTTCTCTTCTTTTAAGGACACTGGTCATACTGGATTAGGGCCCACCCTAGTGACTTCATTTTATCTCGTTAAAGACTCTATCTCCAAATACAGTCATATTTTGAGGTACAGCAGGTTAGGACTTCAACACATGGACTTTGAGGAGATGAAATTCGGTCCATAAAAGTAAGTGATGTACAAGTTTTCTACCAGTACAGGGAAATAAAACCCACTTTGTCTGCTACCTTTCAATTTCAATCTTGGGTTAGCAATTATTTCAAGGGCCCTAGAATTCACTCTTCTCCACAAGTTAATATCTGTGTGTTTTAGCAACCTAATACTACATGCCTCGAAATTTAGGCCTGAGCACGGGGTAGCACTTTTCAGTGAGCAGTGGCTGAGCATATCTCTCTTATGATGCCATTTACATTTCAGGAACTGTAGGGCATTGCATTCTGGCTCTGAGGGATCATTCTGGACCTACCACTTTTGTCATCAATAAAACAGCAACAGACATACCATTAAAGTAAGTTGTCTAAATTGAAAAGGAATTTATTTGTCAATTAATCAGCATGTAACTAGGCAAATGTGTATGAGAATGTTCCTGTATGGTGGAACCCTCAAATGGTAAAGAGAAAACTTTCAAGTAATACTAGAAAATGCCTTCAGACAAATAAAGTCTGTTGTAAGTACTGTGCCTGACTTGGAATGGATGACTTGGAGAAGTTTCCATGTGCGCAGTTCATCTTTGGCCAACCTGACTTATCAAGTTGGTCAGGAACCCTGCCTTCATCATGGGTCTTCCAAGCTCTGCCACCTCAATCATGTTTTCTGATATTTTATAACCACTCCCATTATCACTTGTTACCCTAGTAGCTTTTCCTGCAGTTTTTTTTTTTCCTTTCTATGGTCTCTAGGACTCCTCTGTGACTTCATTAAAAAAAACATTTCCATTAAGCAAAACATATTACACAAAGAAAGAAAGTGAGAAAGAGAAAGAAAAAGAAAGAAAAGAGAGGAGAGAGAGAAAGAGAAGAAAGAGAAAGAAAGAAAAAGAAACAAAGAAAAAAGAAAGAGAGAAAGAAATGAAGGAAGAAGGAAGAAGGAAGGAAGGAATCAAAATTCTTCACCTGACTTTGAAAATCTCTCCAAAATGGAAGATTCTTTCATGTCACTTCCCTCATCAACACTAGTCTCTCATATAAGCCCTTCTCTGCACATGGGCCTGGATTTTTGCTAAATTCATGCACCTCTTAATGTTATACAATTCACTGCTTTAATACATATTGTTTCCCTATGTAAAGTGACCTCTCTCATCCTCTCCACCTGTGCTAATATTATTCTGTGTCAAGGCACAGCCTAAGAGGCTTCTAAACCCTTCCTGTTCACCCAGCTGACATGCTCACTCTCCACCCCCTACTTCCAACCGTTATAGCCTTTATCTCTCTCGGTCTGTATCATGCATTATAACATAAAGTTATTTATCTTTTTAACAAATACATTTTCTCTCCCAAGTGATATTATTAGTTCTTCACAATCAAGAACTCATCTTTTCACTGATATCATTAACAATGAAAACAGTGTTACGTATGCAGCAGATTGCTCTTTAAAAATACATTGAATAAGATTTATTGAATGAATCAATGGCATCAACTCAATATATGTTTATTAATTGAATAATGAAATATGGAAGAAACAAAGTGAGTACGTATTGAATAAGTGAATCTCTGAAATCAAGCCTACAGACTGCCCAGATGTTCTCACCCGTGGGGAAAGTTCCACAGTTCCAAATCACAGTTGGATGATATTTACACGGCTTAATACCATCTTTACTGAATTATCTCAAGTTTTCACTGATATAAGAAACAAATGTTTTGTCATGCAGCCTAATTTATATTTCTGGGCATATATGAGCATTCTATTCATAATATAGCTATTTATAGTCATTTGTTTTGCTTTAATACAATTTAACTCAGAAGTACTGAATAGAGGGCATTCAAGTTTTTGATGGTTCAGTGAAGTCAAACATATTTCAGAAGCAAATCTGGGCCACAGGGCCTTATTTTGGACATAAAACAGTGAGAGTATAGAAAGGTTAAATAATATGCCCTAAGATGCACAGCTAATTGGCAAAAAGCTCTAGTCTAGAATAGAGATTCCGTCAGTCCCTATACCATATTCTTCACTACCTCCTGCTACTACTATTGGTGAAATAATTAAAAGACAATCTGCAATATGACCATTTTCTTCAAAATAATATTTTAATGCTATTCTCTGCACATCGACTATTCACATGCTGTAGATTATAGCATAATCTATATTATGCTGTGTATAGAAGAAGTTTAATTTCCAGCACCATAAGGGAGTCTTTGTAGTGGTTTCCCTCAACTAAGACAAGATAGAAATTGGTATAAATGTGTGATCCAGGACCAGGCAAGCACAGGACACCCAAGTTGAGCTAAAACTAGGGAAGGGAAAACAACCACACAAATGCAGAAGTGGCCAAGCTGAAAATGAACCACAATCACCCCATATTTGCTTTGAAATTTAAGATCCTTAAGTGGATATCCCTCCTTTAAGTGGATATCCCTCCTTTAAGTGGAAATCCCTCCTTTAAGTGGAAAGCCTCCATATGAAGCTTTTGTTCATACAATGTGCTATTAACTAAATATTTGTAGAACCCTAAAATTCATATGTTGAAGCCCTAATCCTCAATGTGATGGTATTTGAAAGCAGGGGCTTTGGGAGATAATTAAGTTTAGACAAGGTCAAGAGGGTGGGGCTCTTATAATGAGCTTAATACCCTATAAAAAGAAGAAGATATACACAATCTCTTTCTATTTCTCTTTTTCTCTCTCCCTCCACAGGAAGGCTCCAAAGAAAGGCCACATGAGGACGTAAGAAGAGATGGCATCTGCAAGTCAGGAATAGACTCTCACTAAGAACCAAATGCACTGGCACCTTGATCTTGGGCTTTCAAGCCTCCAGAACTGTGAGAAATACGTGTCTGTTGTTTAACTCACTCAATTTATGGTATTTTGTTATAACAGTACAGAAAGACTAAGATAGTAACTGGTACCAAGAAAGTGGGGTGCTGCTATAACAAATGCCTAGAACTGTGGAAATGGCTTTGGAACTGGGTAATGGGTAGAGACTGAAAGAGTTTTTAAGATGCAAGCTAGAAAAAGCTAAGATTCCCATAAAGGGCACTTAGGGATGATTCTAATGAGACTTAGAAAGAAAAGAGGAGAGCTGCAGAGACCGCGTCTATCTTCTTGGGGGATATCTAAATAATTATGAATGGAATGTTGGCATAAATATGGACAATAATGGCCATTTTGGTAAAGGGCATTCAAGTTGTTTGGAAAAACTTAGGTAGAAATGAGAAACGTTATTGGAAACTGGAGGGAAGGCAACTTTTGTTTTTAAAAAAATAATACTTGGCTGAATTGCATTTGTGTTCTAAAGTTTTGAGGAAGGTAGAACTTCCAAGCAATGAAATGAGATATTTAGCTGAGAATATTTCCAAGAGAAGTGTCGAAGGAGTGGCCCAGTTCCTCCTGACTACTTATAGTAAAATGCAAGAAGACAGAAATAAATTGAAGAAGGAATTGTTAAGCAAAGATAAACCAGAACTTAAAGATTAGAAAATTCTCAGCCCATCTATATTGTAGAGAACGCTAAGCATGTGGTGGAGCAACGACTTGATAAGAGGATTAATATGGGTAGGAATCATGGACCTAATCAGCCACCCCAGCAGGAACGATGCTAATTTGAATGTAAGGGGACAGAGATGAGACTAAATGAAGGAAAGCTTTCACACTTTTTACATTCTACAGGACTAGACCAGAGAGCTATTTGGCTGTCAACATTATTCTTCAGGGAAATAGAAGCATGACCCTGAAGGTGATTCAGAAATCATCAGAGCTGCTTCCTTGCTTTCAAAGAAGCAGGAAGGGCAAATGCCTTCACTTCAACAGCGAGATTGCAGCATCCTAGAGCAGTAAAGGGGGGCCCACCAAGAGATTTTGGAGCACGACTCTTCACAAACCCCACCTGGCAGAACCACCCACCCCAATGAGTCTGGAAGGCAGGACTGCTGCTCCAGTTGGTCCAGTAGGCAGGAAATCATTTTAAAGAGGATTATTACTGAGCCTTAAGATTTCACGGAATTTGCCTTGCTAAGTTTTGGACTTGCTTGGGATCCATCATTCTTTCTTCGTTCAGATTTCTCCCTTTTTGAAGGGAAATGTCTATCCTATGCATGTCCCATCATTGTATTTTAGAAACACAGACTTTTTCTGGTTTCACAGGATCACAGATAGAAAGGAATTTTGCTTCAGGATAAGTGTATTTCTAGTTTCATCTATGTCTTATTTAGATAATATTTAGATAAAACTTTGGACTTTAGAGTTGATGCTGGATCAAGAGTTCTGGGGCAATTTGGATGGAATAAATGTATTTTGTATGCAGGAAGGACATTAATTTGGGGGATCACGGGTATACTATTATGGACTGAATATTTGTATTCCTCAAAATGTTGAAGTGTTGAAAACCTAATCCCCAGTGTGATGACATTTAGAGATGGAGCATTTAGGAGGCAATAGGGTTAAATTCGGTTATGAAGGTGGGGCCTTCATGATTGGATTAACACCCTTATAAAAAGAAGGAGACACAAAATCTGTCTCTGTCTCTCTTTCTCTCTCTCCTCTTTCTCTTTCTTCAAATGCATGCACCAAGGAAAGATCACATGAAGACATAATGAGAACACTGTATCTACAAATCAGGAAGAGGACCCTTACCAAGAACTGAATCCACTGGCACTTTGATCTTGGATTTTGCAGCCTCCAGAACTGTGAAAAATAAATGTGCACTGTCTAAGCCATCCAGTCTATGGTATTTTGTTATAGCAGGCTGAGAAAACTAAGAGACTAAGACACCCATTCAATACACCTTGACTCACCTGACTATAAACTCATCTCAGCTCTGTGTTAAGAGGAGGGCTAGGCCAGGAGTGATGGCTCACACCTGTAACCCCAGCACATCAGGAGACCAAGCACATTGGGAGGCCGAGGAGGGAGGATCACTTGAGCTCAAGAGTTCAAGACCAGCCTGGGTATTATAGCAAGACCTCCTCTCTACTAAAGTCAAAAAAATTAGCCAGGCATGATGGTGTGCACCTGCAGTCCCAGCTACTCTGAGGGCTGAGGCAGGAGGATTGCTTGAGACTGGGATATGGAGGGTGCAGTGAGCTATAATAGTGCCACTGTACTCCAGTCTGGGTGACAGAGAAAGACCCCGTCTCAAAAAAACATATAAATAATTAATTTTTAATTTAAAGTAAGAGGCTTAATAGCCTGGTTCTGCGACGTCACATATGCACCCATTAACAGTAGCCTTCTGGTGACAATGACTTAATCTACTAGCACAGGTAGGCAATAGAGATAAAAGCTTAGCTAATTAACAAAAAAATTGATTATTCACAATAGTTCAAATATGGAAAGAACTTGAGTGTTCATTGACAAATGAATGTTAAAAAATCTGTGTATACGTATATATACTTTATAAATAAATATGTATAATAGAATATATATGTTTCATATATATATATATACAGCCATATATGTGTGTGTGTGTGTGTGTGGTGTGTGTGTGTATATATATGTATATGTATATATATGTATATGTATATATTTCCAAGAGTAAAATTTCTAAGGGAGAAATCCTGCCAAGCTTGTTAATCTCATGCAGATGTATATATGTATATATACATATGTGTATATATGTATATGTGTATATATATGTGTGTGTGTGTGTGTATATATATATATATATATACAGCCTTAAAAAGAAGGCAATCTTGCCATTTGTTTCAACATGGATAAAACTGGAGGATATTATGATAAATGAAATAAACCAGACACAGAAAGACAAATACTACCTGAGTTCACTTAAATGTGGAATCCAAAAAGTCAAACTCATGGAAACAGAGTAGAAGGGCTGTTGTCAGGGGCCAGGGAGTGGAGGGAAATGTGAGATGTTGGTCACAGGGTACACACTTTCAGTTCTAAGATGAATAAGTTCTGAGAATCTAATGCACAGCATGGCGACTACAGTTGATAATAATGTATTGTATACTTGAAATTTGCTAAGAGAAAATCTTATGTATTCTCACTACAAAAGAAAAGGTAACTATGTGGGGCAATGAATATGTTAATTCACTTGATTGTGGTGATCATTTCACAATGTATGTGTATATCCAAATATATTCTGATGTGTAATTTAAATGTATACAATTTTTATTTGTTAATTATACCTCAATAAACCTAAGGAAAAAGGATTGGATTCCAGGACCATTCTGCTGTTAGCTGTGTGGATTTGAGATTCTGCATTCAATCTACACATTTATATCCAAAAAAGGTTGGACTGGAAAAATACTTGCCCTATAGTGTCCCCAGATACACTGGGGTCTCCCAGAAGTGCCTCTTGGCTTTATCAGCTAGGTTATCAGGTTAGGAATTCATGCCTCCCAACCCAACTTCAACCGGAGCTGTTCTGTTTTAATCCGCTGTATACACCAGGATTCTGCATAATGCTTAACTGGGAAAAAAACAGTCCTACTGTTAAAACAATAGCAACAAAACAAAATATTTGAAATCCACTGGAGTAATTAATCTCAGGTGCTTGCTGGCTCCTTCTCTCTGTGAGATATTAGAGAGTAGGGAGGCCATTCTGGTGCCTTTCAGATCCTATCAGGCAGTTCTGATCTTGTCTGGATCAGCCTGTGTTATTGGGATCAGCCTGCATTATTGAAGCTACCTACCACACGGAGTCTTAGAGGAATCATTCTCCCCACTTTGAGGGCTTTCTAGGCCATAGGCAATCCAGGATTCTAGATCCAATCAGAAAGATATGGATGAAATAAATTTTTTGCAATTTTCCCTATGGCCGAGACCCACTGTGAAAAAGTTCTGGGATGGTGTGAGGATCTGACTCAACAAATATTCATTGAACATCAAATATAGGCTACACATTAGCTTGGTACTGCTAGGTTTGAGCTGATATTTGTCATTTTGTTTTTGTTGTTGTTGTTATTATTATTTGTTGTTGTTGTTATTATTATTTATTGTTGCTTTTCCATACCTAATTCAGAAACTCCAGTTCCTACAACTTTATAGAGTAAGAAAATGTAGGGGTTAATGTCCTTTCCCCTGCTCTACATATTTCCATTGAATTCTTCCAACCTCTATTTAGCACTAACTGAATGTCCAATACTGAGCTAGGTACGGAGATAAATAGAAGAAAAGTTTAAAAGATATGGTCCCTGTCTTCAAGGATTTAGAGTGTATCGAGGAGAAAAAAAAACTTCCACACACAACACCATCAGGTAACAAAGGGAGAGTGCTAAATTAGCTACAACCACCTGCCAAAGGTGTGGTACTGACACTAAATCTGCTTGGTAGTTTGAAAAGGGCAAGATCAAAGCGAGCTGGAGTTTTGGGGTCAGGGGTGGGATTTGATCTGTTTATTGAAGGGCTAGAAAGATTTGGACATAAAGAGAGAATGGCTCCTTATAGGAAAAGGGGAAAAATCAGAAGATAAGCACAAGGGACCCTAAGGAGACTGGCTGCCTTGGAGCAAAAGCTTACTATGTCAAACAGCCTAGACACCTAGCCACTGCCATCATGTTAGTGGAGGTTGCTGGTCAAGTGACTTCTCTGTCCTGGATCTCAACTCTTCAATTTCCAATGAAAATTAGCTCCCGGGCTCCTATTTATCTTAAAGATGCATCTCCATTTAAATGTGTTTAATGCTTGCAACATGCTCAGTGTTCACTACCTGTGAGAGAGGCACACATTATTATTACCATAATCATCATTTACCACCTGCTTGCCTCACTTGAACCCATTACTCATTGCCATCCCTCTCCCAGGGGGAACCCTTCGTCACCTCTCAGGGTTCATATACCTGCTTTTTGGGAGATAAATTTACTAAATTATCAATTTTACAGTGATCCCTTTCAAACACTTGGGGAACTTGAAATGGAGAGTGGTATTTGACTGGATTCCTCAATAACTATGCTTGCTTTGAGAAGCTGATGGTGTTTGAGAGTGGGTCAGTGTCCTTTCAAAGTCAGTAAAAGAAAACATCCCACAGAGTGACTTAGGAAACATAAGATCCAAAATATCTTCCAAAGTAGGGGTCTTCTCACAAGAGAACAATCTCCCACATTTTCCTGTTTCTCCCACGTTCTCCTTTTCTTAAGCTAGCGATGATAATCTGGGAATAAATACACATTTTCTAAGGGAGAAATCCTGCCAAGCTTGTTAATCTCATGCAGATGTGATGATACTTTTACTATGTTGTAATATGGCTTCTTAAAAAACAAGTTGGAAGGAGGGGGGGAAAAGCCCACCAAAAAACAACAAATATTCACCAACCCATATGGTCAGTAATTGCTGTTTAATAGTCCTCCTATTACAAACCTAAGAGGCAGCAGTCTGAATTACCAGTAGAGTATTAATAAACAGGAATGAGTTAATAGTGCATAAAGACCTTCTAGTGGAACAGTGGGGGAGTTGAATATTCTTTTCTTCAGTCAGCTGTAAGTAATTACTGCATGGTGTGCTTCTGACTATTACCATAACAGAGCAATTGGACGTGAAGAATGGATAATAGTATGGACATGGAGGTATTTTTAGAATATCAGCAGTGAAGCAGGTAACTGGCCTACTCCAGTAGAAACCTTTAAATAAGTTTCGAAGACTTATTTTTTTTTCCTTATGACATTTAGCCATGGTAGAATTTTAAAAAGATCAATCTAATACATTATTTAAAATAACTTTACAAAGAGGATGCCTGTGATATGTAAATAAGAAGCCAAGAAGGGAGGAAGGAAAAGCCTAAAAAGCCCAGGCGGACACGAGGCATGAGCCGACGTTACTGTAACTACATAATCACAGGTTCCCTCCTGCTCCTCGGAGACACAGCCTTCCTCTGCCTGGATGCCCAATCTGCTTGACTGGCTCCCACTGGCTGCTCAGGTGAAAGTGAAAATATTCAAATCAGAGCTGTAACTATGATTGCTGGAGTTGTGGGTTTTCTAAAATTGAGTTAGTCATCCTCAGTGATTTAATGATGCATATCATTTATTTTAAAATATTATTACAGGGGCATTGACTGAGCTGCGGCTCCTTTTTCAAGGGACTGTCCATTATGCAATGCGGCAGGGTATGTCATGGATGGCGGCAGGCTGAGATATTGTCTAACAGCACAACATATGTTCTCAGATGAAAACAGCTTGAGACTTTGATTCAGAAAGCGGTAACTTTGTAAATGCACACAAATATCATTTAAGGAATATTTTGATTTTTTTTTTCAGGGTATAGGTCCTTTTCCTGCCTCCTGACTGCACAGGCCGAAGCTGATTTTTCAATTTGCAGGTTTGTTAAGCATCATGGAATGTTTTGGTTCTCAATCAAGAATATTCTTCCCAAGTGGTTCCAAAGTCCTACGCTTGAAAATAAACGCGTGTCCTCTTTGTCTCCTAGCAGCATGTGTTCCAATGTACAATAGCAGCACAGGACGGAGCAAGGCATTGCCTTTTATTGAACCACCCTATAGGTTTTTAACCTGCCACTCTCAGGGGCTGCAAGCTTTCTTAAAGCCAGGCGGCATGCTCTCTTCTTTGGGCGGCACTGGCAGCTGGAGTCCAACGGGGGTGGTTAGGAGCCAGGACCCAAGTCCTCCTCCTGGCAGGATTCCTGTCTTACGTTGTGGCACAGGAGCTGAACAGAGGATAAGCCACCCCAGTGCTAATGACCTCAGAGTCCCACCTGAAAAGAAGAAGCACAACCTATGGGACAGGTGGCAATGCTTAACTGATCTCTGCCCACCCCTTTGAAGTCCTCTGACAAACAATTGTGTGTGAAATAAACACTGTCACACTTATTTTTCCTGAAAAAAACACATTATTGTGTCTGAGCTCCACCAGCCAGCATATTCTGATTCACCTAGACACAGCCCCTTGCTTGCTAAAAGATGCTGCAGTGGAAATATACAGCTGTGTATTTCACCTATTTAGCTGGTGATTCTTAATAGAAGTCAAGGGCACACCTGTAGAGGTGTTATGGCGACCCAGGGAGAACCACAGTTTCTCTATATTGCTGGTTTAGGTTTTCTTTTTTTCATGTTTTTGAAAATAGAGTAGTTCCCTTTTCCATAAGTCTACAGGAAGATGAGGACAAAAGAAAATCTGGCTAATTAAATGCCAATTTTAAACAAAATTTTTCACATTGAACAAAGATCAAAGGTCATTTCTAGAAAGTGCTCATGACCTCTTATTTTAAGGCATTTTAGTGTTTAGAGCATTTGTGTTTCTAATTCAGTAAAATTTTGAGGTTTGTACAACTCTCTTTCTGTGTGACCACACTATTTATGGTGATGAGTATGTCCCATTTAAATATATTCTGCATCTCCTATTAATCCTGAAGTTCCCAAGGGCATGGGATGGACCTCTGGGTTTTACACCCAGAGTTGATACCATATCCAAAGGACCAGTACAAAAACTTCCCTAGGAAATGATACCACCAACAACCAGAACTGTTACTGTTTCATACCTAGAGAACCTTCTTGGGAGTAGAGAATAAGAGAATTCTCCTGAGTGAAACTAAGAGGGAGAAGCGGGGCTCCAACACCTTTATATTTCCATTTAGCTCCGAGAAGCCCAGGGAAAAAGAAATACCTGGAACTGCTAAGAAGCTGAGCAGTTTCAGCGGCTACCAATTTATCTCTTCAGTATTTCAGCTGGCAACTCTCTAGTCAAGAATTCTTAGTATTTTCAGGTTTTCCATTGAAACAACTTAGCAGGCCAAAACTCCAAAAAGAACCAGCGAAAAGGTAAATTATTGAATCGATTACACAACTCGACCATTATGAAACTTTCCAGAGTGGTTGAATTCAGCTACCCTATTCATGGGCTATCATGACAACCATTAGGACTCACAAAAATCTTTTTTATTTCTTCAGCATTTGGTAAATAATCCTCTGAAATGTGCACTTATGTAATATTGCAAATAATAATGATAATAAAAGTTCTAAATAATTTGGCCTCTACTTCCTCATTGGTTTCATCTCCTACCATCCTCTCTGTGGTTTTATTTCAGTTCTTCCATCACCCTGAGCTTATCTCTGCATCTAGGTCTTTTCATTGTCTGTTTCCTCTGCATAGAATGCATTCAACCTCAGTTAAAATGTCATCTCAACAAACTATTCTTAGTGGTTTTCCAAGCATTCTCTAGACCCGCTTTACTTTCCTCACAATTTATACTAGCTGATGTTTTCTTGTTTGTATATATGCTAGATTGAACTCCTTAATTCTTGACTCCTTCATGCTATAATATACATATCATTTGACATGTCACTGTGAGTAGAAAATATTCCTACCTGATTGCAATTAGGCTTAGTCATGTGACTTGCATTGGTTAATTAAATGTTGGCAGTCATCATGAGAATAGTCTTCAGATATGCCATGTGTCTTGCTTGGATCCTGGTGCTTCTGCCTTTCCCTATTAGAGAAATAGACCCTAGGTAGTCAGTTTTTGAAGAAGAGTGAAGAGACTTTTAGGACAAATCTGAACCTAATCTGAGTCTTGGAACCAAGTCTCCCTATGACCTAAAGTAGCACTGTTTCAGCCAACCCATGAGACCATTAGCAAGGAAATAAATACTTGCTTATGCCACTGAGTTTTGGGTTTGGGTGTGAGGTTTGTTATATATTCTACTTGTGGCAATTGCTAGTTAACATTGAAACTCTACCAAAAATGGGCTTCTGCTGTCAAAAAATATTAAAACGTGTCATTAGTTTGGGATCACCTGGTAAGAAGAGAAGAAACTATTATTTAAAAAGTAATAGCTAGGAAAATGAAAACCCATATTATGCAGTACCAAAACATTTGATAAAACTGTTGACTACAATAATCTGGAAGGCAGAAAGTGTACTAAATGTACTTGTAGCTTTGAGCCGGGAAGTTTTGGGGGCAAAATATTTATAGTATGAATTGGCTGTTGTTGTCTGCATTTATTAAGTTACTACAAGAAAAATATAAGCTTAGAAAAGAATTGACTGACTTGCAAATAAGATTGAGTGAAACTGAGAGAACCCCCAAATTCTGGAAATTATCAGTTTGAAAATTAAACCATTTCTCTCTATAGATAACATTGCCATTAGAACATCGCCATAAGGTAAGATAAAGATAAAATCAAGAAAATAGTTGTCACACCCATTGGTAAGATTCCTGAAAAAAGGGTGGAGCGTGGTGGCTCACACCTGTAATCCCAGCACTCTGGGAGGCCAAGGCAGGTGGATTGACTGAGCTCAGGATTTCCAGACCAGCCTGGGCAACATGGTGAAATCCCGTGTCTACTAAAATACAAAAAATTAGCCAGGAGTGGTGGCGTGCGCCTGCAGTCCCAGCTACTCGGGAGGCCGAGGCAGGAGAATTGCTTGAACCTGGGAGGTGGAAGTTGCAGTGAGCCAAGATCATGCCACTGCACTCTAGCCTGGCCAACAGAGTGAGACTCCATCTCAAAAAAAAAAAGATAGAAAAAGACTCCTGAAAAGATTAAGGAGACTGAGGGTGCATCTCACAGATGCCTAATACATGCAAATTACCTACTTATAGCTAGAAAAGAACCTGTCTCTAAAAGAATTATGGTTGAGGCATTTGGCCCATTGTAGTTGACTGGAAGCAAACAGAAAGTTCACAGAGTTTTTGAGAGAGCTGTATTGGCAAGATTACCACCAGCCTGGATTTTAAAAATTATGTCTGTTGGAAATATATAAGAATCTCTGAGACCCCAAGATTTTTCAGACAGGAAGCAGGCTGAGAAATCTGCTCAGCTACCAAGAGGACATATTCTCCTCTACTCATCAGAAAGCCAAAAATGAAAAAGGAAGGAGTTCCAAGACAAGAACAAAGACTCATGTACAACAGTAGACTGGGGATAAACTCCCAGGTACAGAAACAGGGCTTAACCAAAATATCTGCCAACATCCTTGTAGGAGACCCTGGCAAAATTTGTTCAGCAGAGTTTCAAAATTTCTATATACCAGTTATTCTGTGTTTCTCCCAATTGTCCCCTTGTTGAATGCAGCTGTTTGTTTGTTCTGTTTATATTCCAGCATGGGACATTAGATGTGTGGGGGCAGATAACATATCTTTTCAGTTCATAGAGGTCCAGATCAAGAGAAGTTCCATCCAGACCTGACATGGATCATGAGATCCTGGACTTTGAACTCAATGCCATAATTGGGTGAAACTTTGTGGGTTTCTTGGAATGGCCATTAATATGTCTCAGGTGCAGAAGGAACATGAATTGTGAACAAGAGAGACAACTGTGATTGAAAGATTGAGTTATTATTAATACTTTTAATCTTCATTCTCTTTCTATTATAAAATTATACATTACCTTTTTTCCTATGTAACTTGCAGTTTTTTCCAATATGTGTGAAAAATACTCCCTTGATCCACTCATATTGGGCTTGGCATGTGAATTGTCTGAGTTAAAGAAATGTTAGTAAATGCGACAGAAGCAGAGATTTAGACTTGTTGTCATGATCTGGCTTGTTTTCTTTTTTTTTTTTTTTTTTTTTTGAGACGGAGTCTCGCTCTGTCGCCCAGGCCGGACTGCGGACTGCAGTGGCGCAATCTCGGCTCACTGCAAGCTCCGCTTCCCGGGTTCACGCCATTCTCCTGCCTCAGCCTCCCGAGTAGCTGGGACTACAGGCGCCGGCCACCGCGCTCGGCTAATTTTTTGTATTTTTAGTAGAGACGGGGTTTCACCTTGTTAGCCAGGATGGTCTCGATCTCCTGACCTCATGATCCACCCGCCTCGGCCTCCCAAAGTGCTGGGATTACAGTTGTGAGCCACCGCGCCCGGCCATCTGGCTTGTTTTCTTGCACTCCTACACTTCCCCACAAGAAGAACATGCTCCAGATAGCTGGTCTAGGGAGACTGAAGAAACAAGAGGAGCAGATCTGATCCCAACTGACGGTTTAGAGCCAAGATAAGCAAAACTCTGCTAGGGTCAGTCCCCTTCTAGCTAACCCACAGAACTGTTATTGAGATGAATGTTTGATGTTGCAATTCAGAGATTTAGAGTTGTTTGTTTCGTAGCATTATTGTAGTATAAATGCTAATTGAAACCATTTGTTTGTTTGTTGCTTGCTCCCTCATGAGAATGTAATTGTAAGCTCTATTTTAAAAAGGAAGAGTTCAAGACTAGCCTGGGCAACACCATGAGACCCCATATTTACAAAAACTAAATTAAAAAAAAAAATTAGCTAGGTGCAGTGGCACACACCTGTAGCCCCAGCTACTCGGGAGGCTGAGGTAGGAGGATCACTTGAGCCCGGGAGATCAAGGGAGCAATGAGCCGTGATCGCATCATTGCACTCCAGTCTGGGTGGAAGAGTGATATCCTGTCTCAAAAATAAATAAATAAATAAAAATAAATAAGAAACTTTTTAAACTTTGTTCATCTATGTATTCCAGTGGGTAGAAACATTCTTGGTGTACAGTCATTGAATAAGTATTTTAAAAAGGAAAAATGTAATATATAGTAAGAAACTACCAATTAAACATTAACTATATATTAGAACTCTGGGCATATAATTTACTGAAAACACAGTTAAATTTATAGTGGGTAAAGAAGAATGGAAAAACAACAAAAAACAAAAAAAGAAGAATGACATACCTATAAGAAAATAAGCCATTTGAAGTTATTTACAAGAAAGCATTAAAGATATGCTGGGGTGACGTCACAGATAATCTGGTGTAGAAACCACTGGACTGACTGGCATAGTGAGTGCACCGGGTTGAGTAAAGTGCATTACTGTTGGGATAGTGATCCTGTCGTCTCTGTATCTGCAGTTCCAGCACAGAGTAGGCTCTCAATACATGTATGTCGAAATAAATTGACTTTCAGAGCCCATAGATGCTTTTTTTCTTTTCTTTTCTTTTCTTTCTTTTTTTTTTTTTTGTGGTTTGAAAGAGCAGAAAGTTTAATAGGCAAGAAAGACAGAAAAAGCTCCCCGTACAAAAACAGAGGGAGGGGGACTCCAAGCAGAGAGAGAAAACCCCCTTAAAGATGCTTGTATACCCTTCTTGGCTATTGGATATGGACGATATTAAATTATACCAGAAAATAATGCAGGCTTTTGCCTAAGGCTTCGTTCAGCAGAAGACTATCTGACTTGGGAGGAGCTTAGTTATGCCTTTGGGGTCAACCTTGGAGAACATGGAGAAATCTGTTATCTTTCCGCAGATGAAAAGGCAGGAATTCTACAGATACTCTTAACAGAACTCATGTTTTAGCCTTTTGTATTCTCTAAGTCAACCCATTTTAGTTTCCTATTCTTCATTAGCAATTCTTTCCTTTAACCCAAATGTTGTATCCTTCATTTAATGCAGCAATTGAACTGAACAGTTTATTTACCATCTAACATTACCCAACCTCTATTATGGACTACATATTATGCTAAATCCTGGGAACATAATGTTTGAAAAAGACAGTTCTTCTGCCAAGGTGACTATTGAAGAAATAAAGACAAATAATCTGATTGTGTGGTTTCAAAGTAAGTGCTACAATTAAAACTTCATCATAAGAACACAAAACTAGAATATCCAAATGATACCAAGGGGACAACAAAAATTGAATTTGAAGTATATGGAGGAGGGATAATGAGGTGAGAGAAATTACCCTAACATGTTTTTGTTGATGTTTATAGGAAAGGTGTCTCCATCATATGAAAATAAATACCTGTACCAGTGTATCCCTGAAAAATAAGTTACATAGCTGACCAGATATACACTCCACTACTAATGGAAAAGGAAAAAGAGGTGTTTGTTGAGTCCCCAAAGACTCTTTTCTGGAGTATGGTATGCATACCTTACCATAGTTTCAAGAAAACTGATGAAATGAGAAGGAAACACTAACCAGCAATTATTCTGGGAAGAAGCGAAAAGCAAAATCTGATTGAAGCAGTTTGTACACTTGTTGAAAGCAAGTGCCTGTTGTTGGTAGTGACTTTTTTTTTTTTTGAAAGGCACTCAAAGTCAGTAAAGAGAGATTTAAAAGCAAAAGCAAATGAAGAAAGTCTGAAATGTAAAAACTAGACCAAACTGTATAATAAAAAAAAAAAAAACAGGGTGGAATTTGGTCTGACATAGTGAGGGTGTGAAGGGAGAAAAGATCATTAGATTCTGGAGCACTTCAAACATTCAAAAAAAAATTCTTGTGGATTGACTGACGAGACAAGATAAGGTGCTCTGAGGCCAATGGTTCAAGAGTTTATGCGGTCCATTTAAAAGTTTTCTGACTTAGTATAGGGCATTTTTTAAGATAGGTGAAAAATATTTAAATTTGTGAACAAGGTGTAAATTCCAAAAATGTATTTATTTTATGCCTGATACTTTTGTTGTTGTTGTGTGTTTGTTTGTTTGTTCGTTTGAGACAGTTTCGCTCCTGTGGCCCAGGCTGGAGAGAAGTGGCACAATCTTGGCTCACTGCAACCTCTACCTCCCAGGTTCAAGCAATTCTCCTGCCTCAGCCTCCCGAGTATCTGGGATTACTGACATCCACTACCACACTCAGCTAATTTTTGTGTTTTCAGTGGAGACAGTGTTTCACCATGTTGGCCAGGCTGGTCTCCAACTCCTGACCTCAAGTGATCCACCCGCCTTGGCTTCCCAAAGTGCTGGGATTTCAGGCGTGACCCACCACACCCAGCTGCCTGATACTTCTTAACTTTTCATATATATTGAAATTGAATTGTACCAATAACATATCAAGTTAGTCTTTTAATGACATTTGTTTTCCCTTATTTCTTTTTATTGATACATAATCGTTGTATATGTTGATGTAGTACATGTGATATTTTGACAAATCCATACAATGTGTAATGATTAAATCTGGGTAACTGGGATATCCATCACTTCAAACTATAATCTTTCCTTTCTGTCAAGAATGTTCCAAAACTTCTCTTCTATCCATTTGAAATATACAATAAATTATTGTTAACTATAGTCACTGTACTGTGCTATTGAACACTAGAACTTATTCTTTCCATCTAACTGTATTTTTGTACCCATTTACCAAATTCTCTTCATCCTGCTCTGCCCTCTACCCTTCCTAGCCTCTGGTAATCACCATTCTACTCTCTACTGACATGAGATCAATTTTTTAACTCCCACATATGAGCGAGAACATGCGATATTTATCTTTCTCTGTCTGGCTTATTTCACTTAACATAATGTCCTCCAGTTCCATTCACGTTGCTGCACATGACAGGATTTCATTTTTTAAAAAATTAGTAAATAGTGTTTCATCATGTATACAGGCCAAATTTTTAAATCCATTCATCTATTGATAGACATTTAGGTTGATTCTTTATCTTGGCTATTATGAAGGTGCTGCGTTAAACATAGGAATTCAGATATCTCTTCAATACACTGATTTTCTTTCTTTTAGATATATACCCAGAAGTGGGATTTCTGGATCATGTAGTAATTCTAGTTTTAGTTTCCTAAGGAACCTCCATAATGTTATCCTTAATGGTTGTAGTAATTTACATTACCATCCACAGTGTGCACGAGTTGACTTTTCTCTGCATCCTGACCAGCATGTTACTTTCTGTCTTTTTGACAATAGCCATTTTAACTATGATAAGATGAGACCTCATTGTGGTTTTGACTTGCATGTTCATGATGATTAGTGATGTTGAGCATTTTTTTTCCTATAGCTGTTTGCCATTTGTATGTCTTCTTTTGAGAAATGTCTATTCAGATCATTTGCTTATTGAATTATTTGGTTTATTTAGCACTGAGTTGTTTCATTTCCTTATGTATTTTGGTTATTGGATAGATAGTTTGCAAATATTTTCTGCCATTCTGTAGGTTATCTCTTCATTTTGTTGATTGTTTCCTTTACTGTGCAGAAGTTTTTTAGCTTGATGTGATCCCTTTTCTCTGATTTTGCTTTTGTTGCCTGTGCTTTTGAGGTTTTACTCAAAAAATCTTTGTCCAGATTCTCCAATATTTTCTTCTAGTAGTTTTATTGTTTCAGGTCTTACCTTTAAGTCTTTAATCCATTTTGATTTTATTTTTTATATGGTAAGATGATCTAGTTTCATTCTTCTGCATATAGTTATCCAGTTTTTTGGGGGCACCATTTATTGAAGAGTCTCTCCTTTACCCAATGTATGTTCTTGGCGCCTTTGTCAAAAATGAGTTGGCTGTAAATGCATGGATTCATTTCTGGGTTCTCTGTTCTTTTCCATTGGTCCATGTGACTGCTTTTATGCCAGTATCATGCTGTTTTGATTACTATCACTTTGTGGTATGTTTATAAGTCAGGTACTGTAAAGTCTCTAGCTTTATTCTTTTTGTTCAAGATTACCTTGTCTAATCAAGGTGTTTTATGGTTCTATATTAATTTTATGATTCTTTTCCATTTCCGTGAAGAATGTCATTGGTATTTTGATAGAGACTGCATTGAATCTGTAGACTGCTTTAGGTAGTTTGGGCATTTTAACAATATTAGTTCTTCCAATCCATGAATATAGGATATTTTTTCATTTTTATGTCCTCTTTAATTTTTTTCTCAATGTTTTATAGCTTTCTTTGCAGAGATCTTTCACTTCTTTTGTTAAAATTTTCATTCTCTCTTTATTATTCCAGTCCAGTTATTCCTCCTACTGTCCAGGAGGCCTATGCAGATGCAACTTTCTAATTGAAAATCTTATTCTAATATTTCCTAAAAGGATCTTATTTCTCATGTACGTATATGTCCTTTGTGAAAAAGATAATTTTAGTAGGAGAGCATATGATCTAGACAACTTTTCTTTCAAGGGACACATTAATAGGGACTCTACCATTTTTTAAATTAATTGAGATATAAATTATAAAAAGTCATAGATAATTCCCTCCCAACCACAAATTCTAACAGACAAACTATAAATAATTTTATGATTCTTCTGACTGAAGCCAAAGACAAATCACAGAAAGGTACACATAGATAGATGGCATGATGATATCCTCTTCTTTATTTTTAGTATTTTAAATCATCACCACACTTCATAATTGTTATTTTCTACTCTCTTCCTTTGGGTCTTTTTAGTCATCTTTGGTTTTTTTGTGTGCAAGAAAACAAAATGTAAGTGAAAATAAATAGGGAGGAGAAAAATACCTTAAATAGAAATTGCCTAGTTGAAAGTAACTTGTATTGTTACATACATGGTTGTATTCGATCTTTAAAGCAAATTTGGTAGGATAGGGAAGAGAGGTAGCTCACCAGAGCAGACAAGATGATGGTCTTTTAGTGATAAATGATGGACTAGAGGGCTGGGCGCAGTGGCTTACGCCTGTAATCCCAGCACTTTCGGAGGCCGAGGTGGGCAGATCACGAGGTCAAGTATTCGAGACCAGCCTGACCAACATGGTGAAACCCTGTCTTTAAAAATACAAAAATTAGCTGGGCGTGGTGGCATGCGCCTGTAATCCCAGCTACTCAGGAGGCTAAGGCAGGAGAATCACTTGAAACTAGGAGGTAGAGATTGCAGTGAGCCGAGATTGCACCACTGCACTCCAGCCTGGGTGACAAAGCAAGACTCCGTCTCCAAAAAAAAAAAAAAAAAAAAAAGATGGAAAGATGGATTAGGTCTCCAAAAAAAAAAAAAAAAAAAAGATGGAAAGATGGATTAGAATCCCATTCCACTGTATGGCTCAGTTTGCATCACTCCCTGTAAAACAGGCATAATAATGCCTACTTCATAGGTTTGCTGTGGGGATTAAGTGAAAGAAAATAAAAGCCTTGGTACACAGGACCAAATAAATAAGTCTATACATAGCAGCTAGGATTAGTATTACAAAGGTGTTACTAGGTTTTTCTGCTTGCCACCTGAGAAACTGAGATAGAAAGAAGTTAACAGACATGCGTGTCCCAGAAGCATGCCTAACCATGCTGCCAACCACTCCGAGAAGACATTTTTTTAAGCTTTTAACCTTCAGAGACAAGTTGTATTTACCACTTCTGAGAAAAAAATTAAAATTCCCTTAGAAAAACATATATTGATGCCATTTTAATGAAATGGTTAAGTATCTTTATAACAAATGTGTCAATCCAGTTGCAATATTTCAAAAATATAGAGTCACAGTCTAAGCATTGGCAAAGCCTTGAAAGGTCGAACTCTACACAGTGGCCTGTAGTGGTCTCTCCCACCCTATCCTCATCCTTGCTAGCCAACTCTTACCTTACCTTAATGACATAATTAAATGACTATAAAGTTCCATAACTCTTGCTCCTTTAATTAACTGGAGGAAAACCTCTTATCTTCTCAATGTTGAAGATTCTGCTGTTTCACTTTGAATGGTATTGTTCCGTCTCCTTTGTAAAACTGTGAGGAGAACTTATTATTTTAAATAAATAAATGTGAATTTTAGTGGAAACATAAACTTTCCATTAGCTATAGAAATCATCTCTAAAATTGGTTCCATATATCCACCTGTTAATTTTCACTAAAGGTTGTTGTAGATAGCAAATATAAAGTTAATAAGCACCAAAATCACTGAGCCATATAATTCTCTTGAAAATTTTTCTGGACTCAGGAGGTGCAGCAGCACTAAAACACTTCTACAGAGGCTCGAGTTCTTCATAAAGAAAAAGTGTGAACTTGGGACAAGATACAAAATACACATTACGCATTTTAGAAAAGTTTCTTAAAATCTCTTCCATTGTTCCTTTGATCCTCCATTAATTTAACAGCTCTCGTTCTGGCAGGAGTTGAAATGATCTTAACAGATACACAATGTGGGATGGTCACATAAAAAGAACTCAGTGATGCCACCCAGCTAGGAAGAGGAAGGTGCAGAATTTATATTCTGTAGATTGACCTCACTTCCCAAGTGGCATGGGCAAGATTAGGAAATTTCTTTATACCCCTCAAAGAGAGGACTTAGGAGAGGCTGAGTTAAGTGTCATGAGTTTGGCAGGGGACCAGCCCCCTATGATAAACGGCAAAGGGCCTCCTCAGCAAACACTCTGGGAGGACTGTTAAAGATTGTTTGCCACTACATGGCAGAGACACAAAACACATCAGCAAAAACTGAGATGAGTCAGAGGCATCTGGGTATTATCTGAGAGTACTGACCACACAATGGGCCAGCAGGTCCCCAGTCAAACCTACTGTTAATGCCTGTGGAGCAAAGAACAGCCAGGCAGAGGAGAGACCTTGCTACAGAGAAACCCCAGGGTCAGAGGCAGGGCATGGACCTAAGCATCCTCTTCTCCCCTCGTGGAGACAGAACAAGGGATGTGGCTTAGGGCTGGGCAGGTTGTGCTCACAAAAATGTGCCCCACAAGGTGCACACTGGAGGAAGGGAGATTTTTTGGCATTAGTCAACACAGAAGTGTGGACTTTTTTAGTCTTTTTGTAATCCACTGTAAGTTTAAGTCTCTGGTAGCTACAGCCCTGTCTCTCAGACAGCAGGGCACCATCTTGAGAAAGGGAAAAGTGGGCTAGGAGAGCAATCTGAACCACTATGCATTTTCCTAAAGAGACTAAATCTTTGAAAGATGCCTCTGTAAACCATCATAACTTTGAATGGACTGAACGTTAAAGTGAAAGAAGACTTACAAAGCAGAAGAGACTAAAATGTTGCCAAAGGAGAGTAAGTTGTTTTTGCAGTTCAGTAAAGTGGTAGTGCATGGGCCAGGTCACAGTTTTTATAAATTATAGGGCAGCATTTATTTTCTGCATATCTGAGTACAGCATAAAGCAATTTACAACTCTGTCGTGCATGCGTGTGTGTGGTATGTGTGTGTGTTTAAGATAAGACTAGAGGATTGTAACTCTAAACATAATCATGTTTTTGAATGCATACTGGTATTATGGATGTTTATATTTTCAACTTTTGACTTTCACATCCTTCAATTTTTCTGTGATGAGCATGTATTAGCATTTTAAAATCAAAGCTGGATAAATGTTATTTTAAAATAATTTGTGTATCTCTTCCAGTTGTTTTTGTCTAAATCCCAACTCTTTTGCAAAATATGAGAAGCATTTGGTCAGTCAGTCCTTTTCCAGTTCAACTCTAAAATTTGATTTATATTTTTTTAACTTTTTTTTTTTTTTACTCATAAATCCTTTTTAACTTTGCTCTGTTTTAATCCCTTTATTTCAAAGATCACATCGTATCTCCTTTTTTCTCTCAAAATTTCAAAATGGCCTTTGGCCAAATGCAATAAAATTTTGCCCTGACCTGACATAAAGAATGAAGTATGTATATGAAAGCACTTTGAAAACTTTAAAGGACTTTAAAAATGCATGGTGGTATTGGTGGTGGGAAGAAAAAGGGGTGGGAGAAGAGGGGGAGGAAACCATAAGAGGAGGAACTATGTTGTATTTTCTCATAACATAAATTTTGAAGCCTTTCCTGAATGAATTTGCAAACAGAAGCAAATGGAGTCCTTATGCGACATTCTTGAATGCTCGCAATTTTATAAATTCAATCCCACACCCTAGGCAACATGGTACACCCCTTCAGGTTGACATTTTTCTCTGTCATTTACTGCTGCTGAGTGCAATGGACCTCCTTCACAATTGCCAAAATTACCTCAGAGCTACTGGTCTTCCCGGTGTGAACCCTACGGCCACCTCTTCTACCTATATTGTTAAGAGCTGTGCTAGAAGTGGTTCCTAATTAGGAAAACTTATTTAAATCTGCAAACTGTCTCTAGAGTTTATTTGGGTTTTTTGGTCCTTTGTGTATTTGTTTGACAGATAGGATATTGAGATCCCAGAAGACAGAGAAAGTCTAAGACTACTCTATAAGTTCAGATCTCCTTAGAAACCCTCCCTGCCCCCACCAGGTTAAAGGGATATAATACCTTGACAAATAGTGCATCTTCACTTTCCAGTCTCTTCAGTGTACGCCTAGGCCAGAAAAAATATGCTATAATGGTTAAAAGCATATACTCTGGAGTCAGACAGAATAGATTCAAATCCCACCTCTACTACTTGGTAGTTCTGTGATCTTGGAGAGAATACTTGACCTCTCTTTGCCTTAAATTCCTTATTATAAAACGAGGATTATAAAAGATTCTCTTTCATAGAGTTCCTGACAGATTTCAACGTGTTAATATAAGTGAAGTGCATTCAACAGCATCTGGCACTTACCAAGTGCCTCCCATAAATGCTAATTATTATTATTAGGAAGGGAATCCTCAAGTGTATCCAAAACACCACAAGCCCCTGAGGCTCACATGCTGTCCCCACAAAGTGAGCTAATACTGAGAAGGCCTGGTAACTCTGAGAAAGAAATCCTTCTCCTTGCTCTTCACAGCTCAAGCGTGTATGGTGATGACCTATTTGTGCATGAACAGATGTTTACCGAGCCTTCTGGATTTACTTTGGCAGCAACAGGGTCAGGCTTGTATTGAGTGATCCACCTTTGTGGCTCAGTCAGCTCTGGGATGACTGCACGTGCCTGGTTGTGGTTATGTAACACATCCATCTGGAGTGGGATTCAATGTACTGGTCTTAGGCCTTACAGAAAGGAAGCAAAGAAAAATTCTTACCATGGGAAATAATGTTGAGTTCACAGATTTACTATTTTCCTGCCAGGCTTTTTGAGTACGGACGGCTCTCAAACAGGCATTAAAATGATTGCCATTGGACCATAAAGAAAACCTAGAAAATGTGAGGCACAAAGGTGTGCTTTTACCTACGGAGTCCTTTGCTTGCCTTCCTTTTTTTTGACCAAAGGAGAAATTACAGCTAGGGAGGAGGAAGTAGAAGAATCCCTGGATATATGCTAACAATTCTCAAAAACAGAAGCATTATTTCTAGAGTGTCATTAGCATATCCTGGAAGAGCACCTTTTCTATGACTCCTAGCTTTTATGCGGTTTAGCCAAATCTTCAGCATTCTTAGGTGAATTAATATTCAATGAAATTTTTCATAAGCACGTGAAATTTTTCTGGAAGTTATTTAAAATGGATCAGCCGGCTTGATACCACACCTCACACCTCTGCTCCTAGCATGAATCCATCTCAACGTACACTTTTAAAAAATGCTGGAATTAGTCCTAAGCCACTTTTGCTCTATTTTAATTCATTCGTCAAACAAGTAGTTCCGGGCATTATTTTTCTTGACCATTCTCTCCTCTCCCCATCTCCTCCTTTCTGTTTCTCGTCTCCCACGATGTCAATTTATTAAATGTATATGCTTTAATAGGCTCATAGAAAATAAAGACATTTCCGATTTGTTTTGGAAAGGAGGAATCAGCTTGGATTTCCAGGGTACAGGTCAATCCTCCACCGCACACACTTCCTCCTCCTCCAGGGGCTGCATTTCATCTTCCATCCATCTAGCTAAGGAGAACAGAGGCTTAGGAGCCTCTTTCTGCCTGTACATATTCAGCCAGAGGGGTCACTGGTGATTGATGCAAGACACTACATCCTCCAAGAGCTTTCCAAGTCCCTGCTGGTCCAGAGAGGAGCGTCCAACAGTAACTCACCCTTTAGTGCCTGTGTATTTCTGTGCCTCCAGCTAGAAATAGTCAATAAGCACCAGAGGCAACTTATGTTCCCTTAGATCACAAATAAATGCCTCACACCATCACCTTAGAGCCCTTTCACAAACACTGTTTCTCCACAGATAGATTCCAAGTCCTAGCAGCCAATTACTACTGAGGTGCCTCAAAGGTTTGAAGGAGGAGGCAAGGAGAGAGAAAGGGCTTCTCCAAAGACGAAGAGTTATGTTTCCTTCTAATAAAAATTGCTACCTTTTAGTTGAGTGCTTCCTCTGAGCCAGACACTGGGATGAGGTTTAATCTACATTATCCCACTCATTCCTCACAGCTGTGGGATTCATGAAGCTCTAGCCCATTTGACAGATGAGGACACAGAGGCTCACAGAGCTTATGTAACTCCTACTTTCTGCCTCCCCATTCTCTGGCACACCCCCTCAACTGACCCTTATACATACAGATGCTTGTGGACGTGTGTTATGAAAGCAATTGGAAAATGTTCCCGGATGCCAGGCAAGTCAATTGACTTCTGGGCCTTAGCTTAGGTCCCTGACATTCCTTCTCTTGCATTGAAAAGAGGCTCGCTGTGCTGGTTACTCCACAGGCTGCCAGAAGCATGCCTCGTTATATTCTGCCCATCATCTAGATGTTGTCAACACTTCCAGGGCCTTTCATTTTACTTTAAGGGTGGGTGTCACATATTCTGGCAAGTTCCTTTTGTTTTGTTTAGAGACTGGGTCCTACTCTGACACCCAGGCTGGAGTGCAGCAGTGCAATCATAGCTCACGGCAGCCTCTAAGTCCTGGGCTCAAGCCATCCTCCCTTCTCAGCCTCCTGAGGAGCCGGGACTACAGGCACACCACCACGCCCAGCTGTAAGTTCCTTCTGGTACCACAAAGCGTTGTGTGTTCAACCTGTATAAGGTACTGCGATAGTTTCTGTATAGGTTCAAGGGAGTGGAGTGTTACTTTAAAAACAGACAACACAGTCACAGTCTTCCAGTTATTTTCAATCGTGCAACATTCCATAAAGAATCAGGTCCCCGCTTAAGTGCTAGAAATAAAGAGACGAACATGCCTGAGCCATAGGTTTTATCATTTCTTTTCATGATTTTCTTTCTCTGAATTACCTCTGTTTCCTACTTCCTAAAGAGTCTCGTTGTCTCCTTTTCATACACACACATTCTTAGGCAGATGTATGTGACAGGATAAAGCATCTGCATTGACCAAAAAATAATTCGGCAACTAACTATAGAAAAGCCAATGTCTCCACATCCTGAAAGAAATCATACAGCTGGACACTGGATATGGACTGATAGGTCAGAGCTCTCAGTATCCCATTTCATCATGCTTTCCTCTTGCAGGAACTGAACCATGGACTAGCATGAATTTTTTACCTTTTCTCAACCCTCCCTGGGAACTCACAACACATGAACATTAAATACCCAAGATCATTGCATATCTGTAAGTTCTGCAGCATGAAAGTCTCTGGACAATGCCGTCTTACCTGGTCTGTAACTGAGCTATCTGCTACACTTCTGTGAAATGAAGGGACAGATGTGCCTGGGCTGTCTCCCTGTGCAAAGCAGCAGAAGACCCTCTAGATGTGATAGATCCAGGCATAAATGTGGGGATAGGATCACCATGTTTTTTCTGTTATGGAGAAAATGACTAAATTCCTTGAAGATAATAACAATAATCATGACCATATATTTCATGTCTATAGTACTTTTCCATTTCTCAAGCATTTTCACATCTGTGGTTTCATTGGCTCTCCACACCAAACTTAACCTTGGTCTAAATATTGTGATATTTTTCTCAATGATAACACGTCTCTCTCTTTTATTTGATCACCATGATTATAAAGGAAAATATTGTTATCCCCAGTTTATTAATGAAGAAACTGAGGGTTAGAGAGAGTGATTTTCTCAGGTTATAAAACAAGAATTTAAACCCAGGAGATCCTTTGCAAATTCCAGTGTTTGTTCCTCCCCAGTAATCTTCATTTGGTACATGGGGAAACCAAGGCCTTTCTCTGGAGGATCTCAGAGGAAACAGAGCACATGTGCCTAATAAGCGAAATGTCCCACCTGATGGATAGAAGTCACAGTGTGAGGTGTGTGGCCATGGCCAATGAAACCTTGCCAAGCCTTTGTATGGACTGCAAATCCAGTTCATTTCCAAAAGCCAGGTTCCTAGAAAACGGGTTTCTGTTGACACTTTCCCTGCATGTTTTGTTATGCTTGTTTGTGTTGGCCTAGAGAACCAGCAGCCAGGGACAGCGGGATGACTTTGAGCCAAGGGGCGGTCTGTTCACACCCTGGGGACGGGAGTGTTCCACGAAGTTAGCTGCTGCTTGAAAGGACAGCTGCCGCACAGTCTTGCTCACTCCCCATTTTGTTATCCCTGAGATAATAAATAAAGGCTCATTCTGTTGTGTCCAAAAGACCCTTTTCAGAAGACCTGCTCTTGCTGGAAGTCTCCTGAGTCCCCTTACCTGATTACAGTCAGATGCTGGGCATTTCAAATTAAATTAGAACAAATAACGAAAATGAAAGGAGAGTGGGAAGGAAGAGGAACAAACCAGCAAAAATGGTATTCATTTAAAGTAGCCAGTGAGAAAAATGGAGCCTGAGAAACTCAACCGATACTGGCAGAGATCAATGTTTGTCATCTAGTCTTAAGCTAAAAAGAGCCATAAGTGAGAATTTGTAGGGATGACAGTTCTAGGTCAGTTCTGTTTAACATATTCTGCTGCAGATATGGCCAGGTTAAGCAGGAAAATGTTCTAAATCTAGATCTGAAGTCCTATGGCTCTTGGACCATGTTTCTATCTCTATTTGGTTAAATGATGGCATATGCAGGATATAAGGTTTAGCTCTTGGAAGGTGTGGAAAATACATGTCTCATTGCACCAATTTGTTTTCTCTACCAAATCCTGCTAACGTTGAAGTGTCATTTGAGCTCAAAGTTATCCCAGAGATATGCTTAGAGACCCATTGCTGTGTGGATGAATGGGAGAGTAGGAAGTAAATTCTTGCAATACGTGGTCTCGATACGATTCAATGTCAGCAAGACAAATTAAATGAAATTAATTTAAAATTAATTGAAATGAGCATGGACCAAGATTACTGTGTGTCCACTCCCAAAAGTGATTTCAAACATAATTCTTATTGTTCAGTTAAAAACAACTTGCAATCAACCAGCCTAACAATGCCCTCAGATCATTTCAGCCTCCTTGAGATCCCTTTACCTTGGTTATGCTTTCATCACATCTGCCTGATACTCTGCTATCCCCTATTTCAGTGACACTAAATATTGCTGGATCCTAGAAGAGCATTAAGATATTTGATAAGACAATCTAACTTCACCATACAGATGCTGAAAAAATATTTACATTTGATGTTTTTTCAATCCTATTAGCCAAAGTAATATATTGTACAATAAAATATATTGTTGTATTACAGTACTCTTATTGTGAAGAAACAATGAGCACACAGAAACGTAATTCATATTATATCATCTGTCAGTAAAGGAGGTCTCTTCAACAAACACCAACTCAATTTAGATAAAATAAGTTAATAGGTGCTAGAGGGCTAACTTCTCTTGTGACAAAAAGTCATCACATCACTAATATATTAAAGGCCAGTATTAAAAAGGAAAGAGAGTCAAGAGAGCAAAAAGGATGATTATATTTTGAGACCTTCCTGCATATAGCATTAAAAAATATAATTTGGTCTCACGGTTGTGCCCTAACATCCCTCCTCATATTAGTATCTATGGTGGCACAAGTAAAACTTTGAAGTCTCAAAATGAGCTAGTGCTGCTGAGTATTTCCTAAAAAATGTGACAACTCTTATATTTAAAATAAATAAATAAATAAGCATTGAGGAGTGATCAGTGAAAATGTCTCTTAAGCCCATTATTTTTAGCTGAGCGCTGTTATGACTGTTTCCATGGCTAAACCATGAATATGTTTTCTGCACAAGCACGGTCAGCTAGTGGCCTTAATTAGCTTTCAAATGGAGAATGCTGCGGTTTACCACTTATTAAACATCCACCACACCAAGTTACAATTTTGCCCTTCCACACCTCACTTAGTTGAGACACCTCAAGGAACCCTCAATGCTGAATAACTGGTGATTTAAAAATATGTACCATGTGTGAAGATCGGACTGAACACACAGGCTGTGAGGGGAGTTCACTAAAACCTGGCCAGATTTCATTTCTAGATGGAATGATACAATTTGTAAACTGAGGCAACAAGATAGGTCACCCAGAAAGAAAGAGATGAAGTGTATGCTCTAGCTAACGCACTGTCCTTATTCATAGGAATTCAACATATATTTAAGTGCTTGCATTGCATTCTGGATACTAAGTCTTCGTCTAGATTCCTCATGTCTAGGAAGGTGATTAAGTGGAATACAGGATCTGGTGAAGAAGAAGAGGACTGTCCCAGCATTCAAGATCTTTAAATAGTATGCCCCCTAGAGAAGGAAGAAAGTACAAAATTACTCATCAAACTAATCTACTCTTAATACAACATGCAAGTAGACTAACCTAACCAAGCTCATTTCACCAAGCATTTTACTCATGAGGGAGATGATGCAGTTTGAGATTCAATTGAGACAGAATTAGTTTTTCTGATTAGCTAGGTTGAGTGGTTAAGGTATGGTAATAATGATATCATTATTTCTTCTCTCCCCTTTCTCATTCAACATTCAGAGACACATTCTCTCTCTCTCTCTCTCACACACACACACACACACACACACACACACACACACACACACACCCTCACATATGTTTGGATTTGGTTTGCGAATCTTCAACTGGTGGTGTCTGTGTATCAACTTGTATACTCCCAGGGGCAAAAAAAAAAAAAAGTGAATTCACCTTTTGTTGAAATTCCACTGTGTATAAAATGGTCTTGAAATCTGAAGGAAGAAAAAAATCCTCCTACAAAGAGAACATGTGAAAAGGCCAAGGGAGAGCATAACTGAAAAAAATATATAAAAATGCAAATTTTCCTAAACTTCAGCTTTGGATGGACTGAAGCATAAGTGAGAACTTCAACAAAGCAATAGAAAAAGATGACAGCTCAGAGTTTCAGAAATTTAAGACAACAGCAGGATTAGACACTTTGGGTTGTCTTCGCACACATTTCTTATGGGAGTTAATTCCATTTGACATGCAAGACCAAAGCAAGATTACAGAGGCATAGCCCCATGGCGAGGTGTATGCTGTAGCTAAAAGCTGGGATTTGAATAATTGTGCAGGCTTACTCCAAGAATCAGGCAAGAACAGAATGAATGGATTATTACAAGGAACTTTGTACATTTTTAACTGCTGGACTTAATAAAATACCCTCTATGTGAGAATAGTGTTATGGTCGTCTGCACTTACTCTAGCTGAAGTTTGTGGTAGGATCTATCAAAAATGAGAAAAAACAGAAGCTGTTTTTTAAAAAAGCAAGAAAGGAAAAAAGAAATTTGAAATGAATGACTGGGCTGGGTCATGCCCGTATGATTTATAGAGAAACAAAAAATTTGGAGAACTTGAGATCAACATATTCGAGCCCCCCCAAAGTTACAGGGGATTCATTTCCTGTGCAAAGAAGTTTGAGGAAAGTGGAGAGTAGAGTTCAGGGAAAGTGGGCCACAAAAAGGTGGATTTTTATTTCACGATTTCAGCTCGTTAAGGAGGTCATTTGTTACTGGAAAAAGTTACTAACCCACACATCATTTTATATATATATATAAATGTGACCTCTTTCCTTGGAAGCCACGGAAGCACTTGTCTGTAAAAGGCAGAAAGAGTAACAGTTCCAAAGACTTCTCGCTGCTTAATTAACTTTCCAGTGAGAATTATTAAAATTCTTTATGTAATTCTTATTTAGAGCTCATTAAAGTGAAAGATACAAATGCTGGACAATGTAGGGTTCAGAGAAGCTTTAAGAAAGAAAAGTTAGTTTTGCAATAGCTGAGAATTATGAAAAGCTGTCATTAACGGTAGCCAAGTAGACCTTTCATTTTAAAAGTCACTGATTCAGATCTGAAATGATTAGATTTGATTTTCTCCCTTAATCTCATCTTCATGTCCTCCTTTGCTGAAAGCTCATTTCTCCTGGATTCCTTCTCAGCCCTAACCAGCCTAGTGGGGAGGGAAGTCCACCCAAAAGAGGAGGAAACTGCTCTGGGCCATGGCACTGGGGCAGTGCGCCCTCTGCTGGGAAGCCAGCCTGCAGTCCAGCTTAGGAAAATCCCCCCAAAGAGCCTGCCCCTAGGAAAGCAAAAGAGATGTGCATTTCCAATAGTGAAAACCCCTCATACAAGTGGCATCTCTTTCTCCGGTAAGTGGAGATTAGAGGAGGGACCTGGGAGGGTGTATGCGAAGGCTTCATTAAACCAGAACTCAAATGCAGCTCTCCTCACAAAACATGTCTGACAACACCAGCCTGCCATGTAAAATGGCATCAGGAATGATGAACACATTACAGATTTGTAGACCCTAAAATTAAACTCCACCTCATTTATTTCATATTTCAGCAGGGCTGAGGATGCCTGACAGTAAAAGTACAGACCTTTCTTGATAAGCCCCATGGTTTCCTTCTTGGAGAAGGGATTGTGCTCTGTACAGATGCATTCAGTCTTCTTGAAGCCTAAACTCTGCTTGGTGGGGCCAGGAAAGAGGAGGCATGTTTCAGTGTTCTGCAGAAGAAAGTCAAGAATCCTAGCCCTGAGACAGAAGCAGGTGAATGTATTACCACAGGAAGACAAAGAACTAGTCTTTCCCCCCTTACCTCTGTACATCATTTAGATCTTTGCTAGTAAAAATGTGGTTCACAGAGCAGCTGCTTCAGCATCACCTGGGAGATGTTAGAAAACCAGGAGCCCAGAACCCACCCTAGACCAACTGCATCATAATCTACATTTTAACAAGATTCTAGTAATTCATAAGTATGTTAAACCTTGAGACGAACCAGTGTAAACACTAAAGAGCTAAAGCATAAACAAAACTAGAGTATGGAGCTTTACAAGTAGAAGGAGACTTAGCCACCACCTGACTCCTTTGATAGAGAAACCAAGGTCCTGAGGGGAATACAACTCCTCACATATCTAAGAACATTATTTTATACAGGTCTCAGTTTTTTTGGTGTATAAGCTGGAACAGGGATATCACAGATTTTTGTAGCTATCCTCATCACATACTACAAAACCAACAGAATGTGGCACCAGCATTACAAGTGGCATAGGGTATAATTTTCCTGTGGGAGGAACCCTATCTTCTAATCAGCTCTGTTCTACTGAAATGACTTGTCTACATTCTGCAGGAATTGACATAGAAATGAGATTCTGATATTCCTTCTATCCACATAATGATTGATGAAACACATGGGAAAAATTAATTGAATTATATTATAATCTCCCAGGGAAACATAATTAGGTTGTGAAGCATTCCCATGAAATCCTAAAAGCCCTGTATCATCAGGCAGTGACTTCTACTACATGATCAATAATTATATTAATTATAGATAATTATTTTGATAGGATGGTGTGACTTTGGGGCTCTACTTATTCTTGATCTGATGCATTGATCCAATGGTGATGACTTGGTTAGAGCCAGAGCTGAACATAAATAACTCTTTTTGGGTCCCACAAAGCTTTATGATACTTATGTTAACTTGTACTAATTTGTAAATCCTTGCCACCAATTTGATGCTTATTCACATAATCTAAAGGGTCATACTTGTGCAAGACTACCAGAATAGTAATTCTATTCTTAACTCTATAAGAAACAGAAGCAAACTACTCCAGCAAGTAATAGGTAATATATAATACATAAAATCCAATATTCCCTGAACTTTCAAAATTCCAAGACATCCAATACATTCATTGTGTGTACACAGGACTACCAAGCACATCCATGGCAACTCTGAGGCAGTGAGCTAAGAGAATCAGACCCAAAGTTAACAATGCTCAGAAAGTTAGGGTGACCATGGGTCCTTATATATTTAATATCTTTCTTTGTAAACACTTAACTATGAAGGCCATCCCTGGAATACATTTCTCTTAGTTACACATTTTAAGCACAGGCAAAAACTGAGACTTCTACCTGACCCTCTTTCAACACTTTCCAGAGACAGCCTCAGTGGGTGTATATGCCTTCTCACCTAAATAAAAGTATCAATAAGAGTCAACAGAAAATACAGAGAGATTTAAAATAAAAGTAATAACTCAAGGGTTCATATAGCAAATACACCAGATTTTTTTAAGATGACAACCATTATATGTTAACTTTCCTGAATTCTCCACATAACTCAAGATAACTTGGGTTGTTTTAACATAAAGGGATAATATAGTTTAAAAAACCACAGAGTGACAGAAATAAAATCACTTATAATTACACATTATTTTATCAACATTTCCTTAAAATATTTGTAAAACATCTTGCTCACATGATGGTTACTATACGAGACATTGTAGATTTTTCTCTCAATGAGGCAGAGAAGTTCACCATTTAAGAGTCTAGATTTAGGAGCCAAGGCCACCTGCCACTTACCACTTATATGGCTTGAACAATTTACTTACCCTTGCTCTGTGCCTCAGTTTCTGCATCTGTAAAATAGAGATAAAAATAATGTATGCCTAATGAAGTTATTATAAGGATTTAGTAAATTAATAAGCATGAGGCAATTAGAACATGCATGAGAAGTACTAAGCACTCAATTTATAATGGCTATTATCATTATTGCCCTTATAATATGTGTAGGTTGGCTTATCTATGGTCATATTACAATTTATTCAAGAATAGACTTCTTTAAAGTCACCATCCAGAGGATCTGAAAGCCAAGTTTTAGTCTCCAACTTAAGATATGCTTTCTTAAAAACACATTTAAAAAAGAAAAAGCATTCAGAGGACTTGAAAACATAAACTTACTCGTTATACTTTGACAACACACACACACACACACACAAACACAGAATAGTAACACCTCACAGCTCATTGCCAGAAGTTCCCACACAGGGGATTTGCCATAAAGAAAGCTAAATGTGACCCAATATTCTAGTGAGAGATCTCACCATTCAGAGCAGAATAACCTGAGAACAAAATAATGCAAAAAGCAGCCCGAGGTTCCTTTGTCTTTCCTCAGGTAAAATCAATTCCGTTATTATCCACAGTTGGGTACAGAATGGCAGATGAGCAGCATGGCTTCATCCAGCGATACCTCTCAGAGAGTGGACTGCATGGGTAATATCTCACACCCTGGTTCACTCAGCGTTGTCAAGAGAGAAAGGGGGAGATCCATTTTAGGTACGGAAATTCATTCTAAGGAACTATTAAGACATTAGAGAAGAAAAAAGGGAAGAAAAATCAGGCCAAATTCATACAGAAACACAGATTCCAGCCTGCCCCTATCCTCAGACAGAGAGGTCAAGGTGATGGGCGATATTGCCAGGCCCACTATCTTTCTCTCTACTCTTTTGTAGTGGGATGGTTTAGCCATATTTCCTATGTGTGGCAAGGAAATGAACCATGCACATGATGCTGCACAGCAAAGTGAAACAGAAAAAGGTTCTCAAAGAAAGTAGGCAGACATGAATGTAGAATTGTGTAACCCAAGAAATAGACCAACAAGGATGGAAAGTAAGAAAATGACTAGGTCTTTCTTAAAACTGCAACAATTAGGCAATTGAGCTAACTAATAGGATCTGAGAAGATGTAAATAAGTTTTCTTTTTTTTATTAACAAAAGAAATGAGGAGGCAAATTTCAGCCCAGATGAAAGAAGGTAAATGATTCCTCCCCAAAGGCAGAGCCAAGATTTCTCAAATGAGTTTCCTCCTAAAAGAGGCAGAAGTAAAATATATGACTCCAGATGACATAATGTGCTGTGGCCTAAATGTAGGCAGTGATAGTATCCTATTCTACAGGACAAGCTATGGGTAATTGAATGCAAGGCAAAGCAAAAATATAGAAAAGGCCACTCTGAAACAGAAACATAAAAATGCAGTGTGTGTAACAGTACTGAGAAGGGTACAGCTTTGTAGAACTGATTAATAAGGAGAGCGGTGAATAGAACAGAGTGGATTTGCAGAGATTAGGATGTAGCAAGCTTTGTCCAGAAGATTGTATAAAGTTCTTATTGGCCTTGAATCTAAAATAAGGTTAAAAAAAAAAAAAAAAGGCCAGGCGCAGTGGCTCACGCCTATAATCCCAGCACTTTGGGAGGCTGAGACGGGCGGATCATGATGTCAAGTGATGGAGACCATTCGGGCCAACATGGTGAAACCCCATCTCTACCAAAAATACAAAAATTAGCTGGGCGTGGTGGTGCGTGCCTGTAGTCCCAACTACTTGGGAGGCTGAGGCAGGAGAATCATTGAACCCGGGAGGCGGATGTTGCAGTGAGCCAAGATCACACCACTGAACTCCAGCCTGGTGACAGAGCGAGACTCCATCTCAAAAAACAAAAAAAAAAGAAAAAAAAAGAAAAAACCTACCTCCCATCAGGAAAGACCCCCTGTAAGCTTTTGGTATATCTTAGTCAAAAAACTTACCTTTTCCCATGTGCTATTTAAAAAATAAAATTTACAATAATTGTAAATATTTGTAAAATTATAAATGACGTGCCATCAAATTTACTATAATGTGGAAATCATTCCCTCTGACATCTCTCCTGGAAGAGAGTAAGGGAAACATGGTACTGTATTTTTGATATTAGAACACATCGGAGACCAAACTTTAATTTTTGTTTTTCATCCACAGCATCTGAGCTCTGAGAAAACTCAGAGCTTCATAAGGCCTAAAGGTCAGGTACCAAGGTGAACAAGAATGAGAGTCAGAAATATGAGATGCCAGATGAGTGGCAAGAACTTGGGCATTTGTATTTCAAACTCTATGAACTTCACACCACAGCTTGCTCTACCGTGAAGGGCAATATCACTTACTCCAGGTTCCAGGCAACAAAAGATCATTTTTTTAAGGAATAAAGAGAAAAAGGAGGCTGGGCATGGTGGCTCACATCTGTAACGCTACCACTTTGGGAGTCCTAGGTGGGTGGATCACTTGAGGTCAGGAGTTGGAGAACAGCCTGGCCAACATGGTGAAACCCTGTCTCTACTAAAAATACAAAAATTAGCCAGGCATGGTGGCGCATGCCTATAATCCCAGCTACTGGGGAGGCTAAGGCCCAAGAATTGCTTGAACCCAGGAGGCGGAGGTTGCAGTGAGCTGAGATTGCACCACTGCACTCTAGCCTTGGCAAGAGAGCGAGACTGTCTCAAAAAAGAAACAAAACTAAAAAAAAAAAAGAAAGAAAGAAAGAAAGAAAAGGCCAGCCTACAAATACTCAGGAATCCAAAACCAAAAATAAAATTTATAAAACACAGATGTACAGACAACAAATGATAATTGCCATGGCTTTAGGACCAGAAAGCACCTTTGGTGCATGAGCTTCTCTCCAATAATCATAAGACTTGGGACCGTCATTAAAGAGGCAATTAAATGTGTAACCCTTCGAGGCCGTAAGAACTACTCAGCCAACAGCCAGTGGTCCCCTCCTTTGCTTTAATCTGAGAGTTCTGAAGATGCTTCTGTGATCAGTGCTGTAATTTGTTATGTGGGGAGTTTGGAAATCTTGATGTCAGGGAGGGTGTTTGTGTCTCTAGGTAGGCAAGACAGAAAAATAAATAAAGAGAAAAGTAGGTATTTTAGGAATGCAAATGCAACCAAAAATCAGGAAACCTTGGCCAACAACAGTTCTCAGACCTTTCACTTATTGTAGGAGGGAGAAGGGAAGGCTTCCAAGTGTTAGACAATCCTAAATCAGGAAAAAGTAAAAGGCGTATTTCCGTGGCTGTGGAAGAAAGTGCTACGTACCTCAGGGAGCCTCAGTCCTGTCTGCTTCTTTCTTTCATTTTGACTTCCTCGGTCAGCTTTTCCCTGTGGTTTTAGGGAAATTAAAAAAAAAAAAAAGGTAAGAAAAAATACATATATACATATATATATATGCCCACATACACACGTATGCATGTTTATTATATTCCTTTCTATAAACAGAAATAAAGACAAAAGAAGAAAAGTCTCATTTGCAGTTCAGTTTTCCAGCCTCAATTCTGGCTCACCAGTGAATCTTCTTATATACAAAGCTGACTGAAGGGAGGGGTGGGATTGAATAACAAATTTATGTGATACAATCACATCATTTACAATCACATAATGGACCATATCCCAATTTTCAAAAGGCATAAAGTATCCTCATTAATACGATAAGTGCAGCAGTCAAATCAGCACTGTGATTTTATCAGGGTTTTTGACTGTACATGAATTAGAATGTAAAATGCATACAGAATTTTTAATGGGAAGGCTTTAACATTCATTGAATGTATTTCTTACTGTCATTTGCATCACATTAAAGTGAAATTCTACATAAAAGGATAAAGAGAATATGTCCTAAATTACAGTTTTTCCATAGTTGTCATGTCCACACATAGAAAAATCTGATTCATAAGCTTGAACATGATCCTAAATCTGAAAAGGCTGCACTGGTTCCCTATTTGTTTGTAGGTTTTATGTGGCTGTCAGGGCTGGAGAGAGCTCAGTAGGTCAGATTGTCAGGACAAAGCTAATAAAGATCATGGCAGGGCGGGGGAGCCGGGGAGGGAGGGTGATTGTATTCACTGTCTCTACTCTAGCACATTATTAAATACTGTGTCTGCATTTTTCATTCTATATCAGACTACTAAAAAGTCACTCATGTTCCTTAGAGGTATTCTGTCGCTCCTTTAGAAAGCTTCTATCTTTGGTTTAGTTAACTGCAGAGAGTTTATGAACATAGAGTTAATGTTTTATAAATCCAATTCTGTGTATTCCACCATGAATAAACATGTATGACATTGTTATGTACATGGGATATTTTGCAAACACTTGCTTCATATCGAACATGTGTATATCTACTTATAGGTTAAAATATGATCCATATGTCAGACGTTAGTTCCAAAATAATGGCAATTGGGTTAAGTGTGCCTGGCAGCTTCCATATACTGAGGCAAAAAAAAAAAAGCAACCTGTCATTCCTCATTAACCCCACATCACACAGAGAGAAGTCAATGATTGGTACATAACAGTTGACACAGAATCTTTGGAATCTGAGAGAGCATTTTGCATCCTAGCAGAGGCCAACGTGTCACCTGCCAAGCTAATGAACTGGGAATAGAGCATGGCTGCTACATACGTACTGACTACCTGCACACTGGCTAACACACCTGGCCCATGCACACGAATTCGTACCAAATAACATCACTCTGTTATCATTTTAGAGTCTGAATAAGACAGGATGCTGCCATACAACCAATAGAAAAACAGGCATGGAACTTGGGGTGAAATAGTTCCGATTCATAATAAGACCTACTAACGTATTTTGTGCCTAGAAAAATCATTTCATGTATGCACATGAAATGGGCCCATGTGAAATAGATGGATCTCGGCATGGCCAGTCTATCCATTATAATTATTTTATCTTTTATTGGTCAGGACGGGGGCGGGTAATGCCAAGTCTTTCTCTGTCTCCCAGGCAGGAGTGCAATGGCCTGATCTCGGCCCACTACAACCTCTGCCTCCAAGGTTCAAGTGATTCTCCTGCCTCAGCCTCCTGAATAGCTGGGACTACAGGCATATGCCACCAGGCCTGGCTCATTTTTGTATTTTTAGTAGATATGGGGTTTCACCATGTTGGCCAGGCTGGTCTCGAACTCCTGACCTCAAGTGATCCACCTGCCTAGGGCTCCCAAAGTGCTAGCATTACAGATGTGAGCCACTGTGCCTGGCCTCCCAAAGTGCTGGGATTACAGCCATGAGCCAGCATGCTCGACCTAATCATTTTATCTTTAATAATTTGTTTAATTACTTTATCTCTGACAAAGATCAAAGACTGCATATCCTAGTGTTCAGCATTCATGGCCAAATATTGCTGTTGATTCCTGTTCATCTTCCTTGAATATACATAGCATATAGATATATTAGCTATATTAATAGATATATCATTGTCAGAAAAATGTACCCATTTCTTTCCATGTCTAGAAACAGTTTCAAAAACATTTATAATGACCACAGATTTTACCTGGGCCCTTTCTTCTCTCTCTCTCTCTCTCTTTCACCTCCTCCCTCCCTCCTTTCCCCTTTTCTGTCCCTCTGTCATTCTTTCTGTTGTTCTTTCATTTCTTTCCTTTCCCTCATATTCTTTGTATTAAGATAGGAATTGGAATTTGGGCCTTAAAAAAAAGATGTATTCAAGTTCTGATCCATTTTTAGCCATGATAAAATTGTTCTCTTTAATACCAAAAATACTTGTCAAATGACAAGAATTCTGTGGAGAAGACATTTATGGGTTGATGGAAAAGTGACAAAAATTATCAGATAATAACATTATTCCATTTAATTTATTCTGTTCCAAAATTACGCATATTACCACTAGAGACTTCATAACATCCTTTTAGTGGGCAGTTCACCAGTTGAAATCTTGGCCCTTGCCCTTCACTGGCAGGAAGAGCCTTAACAAGCCCTTTATCCTAAATATTTAACTTATTGACTTATTATAAGTACAAAATAGACTGGTGTGCATTGAATATCTAGAGTAGTTCCTGCAACAATGTATACCACTCATACAAGTTAGATCTACCATGCAAGTTATTTCATGTTGTTTTTGTCAAAAGCAAAGAATGCTCACACCTTTTGTAAGAATCAAATTAGATGCTATGAAACCAGATTTTTATCTGTGACTAGACTGTATGACTTCAAGTAAGTGAACAACATTTTCTCCTCCAATAACATTAGGATACATATCTTTAATTTCCCTCCATTCCCTGCTGATTGCCTGGAGATGTTGCCAAAAGTCAGAAACTAAGGAAAACATATTAGGACAAAAGAAGACCATGTTCTTTACTTGTGATTAGGGATCAGCAAACAAAATTTATTTTAAAATCTCTATCATGTCATTTGTTATTTTCATAATTTTATCAAGAACATGGCTATAAGTTGATCATTTGAGCTGCTATTTCTTTTACTTAAAAAAAAGTATAAGGTTATCTAGTTCTAACTTCCTAACTCACTGTTAGCATAAAACAAATACATTTTTATGTAATTTTTGTACACAGAAAGAAAAAGTTCCTTCTGTAAAAATACGCATTTGTAGATCATGGAAAAATTGATTAATATTTCCTCAAACTCCACATTTGTTTCATAATACCAGGTATGTCTAAAGCACTGCCTTCTTTCAGATAAAACCAGTAATCTATCTCCGTGGAGTCAAATTTATGCCATGATTTTTTCTTGCCTTTTAAATGCATACTACTTATTTTATAGGACCCTATTACCCATGCTTCATTGTTTTCACATTTTCTTCTCATAAGAACAATTCTAGTATTGCTGCTTGAACTTTTTACTTTACATTCACTTTCCTTTCCTCCTGCCAGCCCATATGCAAGTACTACCTTAGTCTTCAAATAAACATACAGGTCAGATGGTTCACTAGGTTGTTACATTAAAACCTTAAAGATTTTGTGTCTCAAAAAATTCTTGATTCAATGTAAATTATTGAGGCATAATAGCTCAACTTCTCCTACTGGTTGTTTCATTTCTTGCTTTATTGGAAAGGAATTGCTAATTTGTAATGTTTCTATCTAAACCTGTCAAGTAAAATGTCCTTAATACTGTTTTTTATGCTTCTTTGAGGCTTTGTCTACAAAAAGACTGGAGCTGGGTCAATAATGCTAATAGCAGCAGCAGGCAGGAACAACCTAGGCAGATAGGGCAGGTCCCTGGTAAAATCCCACCTTCAAGCCAAGGACAGTTTAAAGCCTAGCTACAAGTCCCAAGTAAATCCATGGACCACATTGAGAACCTCTCTTCCCATTTGGCATGCTTTTCTCTGACTGATCCCCACCCTTCACCTATTTTTCATATACCTACCCTTCCCTAATTGGTGTTTTACACTGTCATGCCCACCTTTGAGTGGTGCCTTTGTTTCAGCATTTTTTGCGTATTCACAAACCAGTCAGCATGCACTCCCTCATTCTGACCCCATAAAAGTCCAGGACCCAGTGACACTGAAAGAGGCACCACTTGACTTCAGGTGGGGGACCACCCTCACATCCTCTCTCTGCTGAGAGCTGTTTTATCACTCAATAAAACTTGTCTCTGCCCTCCTCACCCTTTGATTGTCAGCATAACCTCATTCTTCTTGGACACAGGACAAGAACTCGGGAAACGCCGAACATGAGTATGAGCTGTAACACAGGTGGACTGGGGCATGCCCAAGCCAGCTGTGGGCTGAGCCAGTGTGCAAGCCAGGCACGGCCTGGTGGGCCAAGTGAGTGGCACACCTCCTGTGGCAGGCCTGGGGCTAAGCGAAGCCCGGTCAGGGGCATCATCAGCCAAAAGTCTCCAGCTGGCAAAGTGATCAAGAAAAATCCTGCATCAATACAACTAATTTAACTGAACTTAGATTTATATTTCCTTCTGATAATTCAATTGTTCATGTACAACCTTTTCCCGATAAAATTTATTTATATAAGCAGCCAAAGTCATAGGCTTGATCTTGGCAGATACAAAAACTTATAGGTTTCTGTCAAACAATTTTAAAAAGTTATAGAAAGGTGAAGAACCAAAACTATGCATGCCATTTATTCATGTATAGCTTAATTTCAGTAATGGCTTATATAACATGTTGGTATGATGATAATTAATATTCTTCATATTCACACAATACTTTTATTTCTGACTATGCTTTTTTAAATCATCTGAACATACTCTAAAAAGACTCTGTATGTACCCACCTTTCTTTTCCAGATAATAGATGGGTTTTTTTTCATTCTCTTATTCTACCAATCTATTAATCTTGATTAACTTCCGGTTTACTCTAATGTCTCAGTTGCCCATTGGGAAACTATTCTTCAATAAAATACTGTATATACCATACAGTGTATTATGACATTATGATTGTCTTTCTTCCTTTATGCATCTGATTTACTCTCTTATTCCATCCTTTGATTTTTGACAGGCAATGTGTTATGATAGTAATCAGGCCCATTTATGATATGTTCAGCATGGACCAGAGAGTCAACACATTCAGGGATGTCCTCTGCAGATTTATGAGGAAAGGTAGATTTAGACTCACCTCTGCCAGAAGAGTTGACATAGAACTTTCTCTCCCACCCAATGCATTCCAGAGGAACTTTAGGATGCCCTGAAAAACAGAAGGCAGGGTGTCAGGCTGAACCCATTGCATTCATCAGATTCTTCTCTTTCAAAAGAGCTAAAAATGAAATCAGACAATGTTCTCAGATGCTTTAAACAAAAGGAATTTTCTGGGGCAGCATGTAAAATAATCTTTACAAATTTCACATTCTCTCCAAGTCTCACACCCCAGTCTACAGATGCTGAGATTTCCCTAAAGTATCGAAGTGCCAAAGGAAAGAACTTAAGCAAAAACTCAAGTTTTCCTATTGCGCCATATTTTCTTCTGTCTTTCTAGACTCTGCTGAAACCCAGCAGCAATAAGCTTTTATAGCCTTCTATTCTGTCAATCAGTTCCCATTTTCAAATATGAAAAAGGCCAAGGAAGTTTGTCCTCTTTTGAATTCTCAGCTTCCCAGGTCATGAAAATGTCCTTCTCCTCATTGTAAGTAGATTTGTGTTTTACCCTATTCCATATCCAACAATCTATTTCATAGTTAAGGTACACCATAGGTATAATACCTTGAATGTATTTATGTGAAAGTGTGGTATTTTCTTTCTTTTCCTCCCACAAGAGGATATGTAGAAGAGAACTGCTATCATTACTTATTTTTATTCCTTCTGCTTATATCCAAAGAATTTCCAAACTAATCTAGTTGAGGAATATATGTCCTTACAAGATTGCTACATCTTGTTCATTGCTACCTTCTTCATCCCAGTCAATTCCTTCTTTATTCCGGGCAGCAGTGCACTGACACTGACACATTGATGTTCTCCTTGTGAGAATTAGCCTATCACATTCATTTATATCCACTTAATTGCTGCTGCTATTGTTTAGTCTGTTAACTTCCAGCTAGGGTGCAATTCACGTGAACACTGGGGAAGCACAACCATTCGATTAGTTCTGCAAAGTAGATTAAAATCTTCTGGCTAATTGGAGATTGTCCATACCGCTGCCTTCCTTCCAACTCTAGGTTGAACAAATGTTACGTGTTCAAGGGAGGGCTCTTAGTTGGAATATGGAAGCCTTGACTGGACCCAGTAGCATTTTCTGAGCATGTTTGTGTATGGGACACTGTGCTAGGCACCATGCCAGCAATTATCACCAATCTGGTCTTTGCCTGCAACCTGCAACTAGTCTTTTGATTGGCAGCTTGCCTTCTTCATTTTCATAAGGAGCACATGCACACTGGAGAAACTCCAACTTGGTACATGGCTAAATCATTAGTATCCCAAATTGGTAAGAATTTCATTTTGAAACACAAGCAGTAAGAAAAATCCTATAAAACAGTTTGTCTAGTTTGGGGGAAAATGATAATTAGGAATATGATAGTCTCACTTGCATGATCCAAAGCATTATGCCATGTTGGACGTAGCTAATTTATTCAGAACTTATCATTGATGTAATAGCAAGCATGCTTTGGTTACTAAGCTGTCGCGTAGTTGTAGGCAACAAAGTCCCAAAGCTTTCTTTGGCAACATGTCACCATTCTGTGTACATTAAGCTGAGGTGCTTTAAGATGTTTAATTACATTTTATCTAAAGAAGATGGAAAACTCACATATCTACTTGAGGAATTCTAAGACATAACAGTAGGTCAAATTTCTTCATTTAATTTAAAATGCCTGTCCCAACTTGGTTTTAGCCCACCTCACTAGAACATTTTCTGACTGTCCCCTAAAATGCAGCTGAATAAAACTGGTAGCTCTCGCTCAAATGCATTAGATTATGTTTATGGCCTGGTGTCCTTATGTTATTGTTCCAGCTATCTGGGGTTTGTGATAGGTGTGATGGACACATACAGGAAGAAGTACTTATGTTGATCTGGGAGTCAACACGAGATGAGATCTATCTAAAAACACACCAGATGCTTTCCGTCAATGACATCATCTAATCCTCCCAACAGAATTTGGAAACAGTTGCCTAATACCCATTTACTGATTGACCAAGTCTCAGAAAGTTTGAGTGACCTGTGCAAGATAACATAGTAAGTCACAAAGTATTGAATTGAAATCCAGTTCTATCTCTATATGACTCCACACTTAACTTCTTTCCTACGACCTTATAGACGTGTTCATTGGGAAGACATAAATCTTAAGCTGCAAACTGAAGAAAGAATAAGTGTTAAAAAGGTAGAAAAGAAGAAAGTCAATATTTCTGGGGAGAAACCCTCCCTTCTCACCAAATGTTGATGGCGGGTATAACATCAAAGGTAACAAGCTCACCAGGACTTAAATATAGGAGAAATAAGGAAAATAGTGTTAGAATTTTTGTTGTTGTTGAGACAGGATCTTGCTCTGTCACTCAGGCTGGGGTGCAGTGGCTCAATCACAGCTCACTACAGTCTCAACCTCCTGGGCTCAAGTGATTCTCCCACCTCAACCTCTCAAGTAGCTGTGACCACAGGTGTGTACCACCACACCTGGATAATTTAGTCATAGAATTTGTTAAGACCATGTGATATCTCTGAGAAGCATATCAAAAACAGGCACCCATGGAACAGCCTCAGAATTTTAAAGAGTTTGTGAAGAGGGTAAAGGATACACTGAGAGTAACTAGAGACCCAGAGATTTCCAGACTTAAGAAACACATTGCTGCCCATCTCCTCTGAAGATGCCAAGGAGGAAAGTATCAGGTTGCTTTTCATTACATTGTCTGTGAAAACTGCAGAAGTGGCAGTTACACAGTAGATCATAAAGTGGACACCTTAGGACAAAAGAATTTACCTGATTCATCACTGCTTTATCCCTCTGACTCTTGTTTTATATTCCCATTGTACGTGAGGGAGATGGGCAAGAGAGAGCAGGAAGAATCTACTTGGGATAAAGTCACAAAGTAATGATTACCCTTAACATTTGAAGGGCCTGGAGAAAGAATACAAAGGGAGGTCCACATAAATGTAGGTTGAAATATTTTCATTATAAATAAAGCTAGCAAACTGTTGACTAAAATAAGGTCTAGCCCTCTGTCTTGATTAATAGGCTGTAATAACAACCTGGAAGTCTAAGTTTCAACTTAGAATCTTTGGGATCCTTGAAGTTTGATGCTGGAACTGACAGAAGAGGAAAACCAAACCTCAGCCTCCCACCCACCTCCTGTTTTTCCCATCCCTCCACTGTGAGGGTCCTCACATGTGCGGATATATTTTTCCACATCTCCATGGTCAGTTGACACCAGGGTTCAGGGGAGCAGAGGCCATTGGTAAAGTCCATCCCTAAGAAGATGGAACTACACAGGCCCTACGGTGGGTTTGGGGCCACATAGGCAGGGAATTTGGGGATCTATTATGTTTAGAGCATGACCTACAAGGGGGCAAATGTCCAGGATTCAGGTGAGAAAGTCTGTTGGTTCTTTGGATACCCTACCCCTTAAGGAGGACTGAAAAAGCCCAGAAAAGAAAAGAAAAAAAAATGGGCCCAGAAAAGCACAGGGCTTAAGGCAAGGACAGCTTTTGCCTAACTGTAAAATGGTACTGCACAGAGTAGCGTAAAAAAATGCCTTTTTATAATCCATAGATCCTGTTTTGGCACCAAAGCTCCTCCTTGGTGCTCCACTTGGCCCATAGCATTACACAGCCTCCTCAGGTGGCCCCATTCACATTGAGGCACATGGAAGCCTTGTGTTAGGCATGGTTAGGTTGCTAATAAGAGTCCCTAAAAAGGGGCTAGGATTTTTAATGTTCATCTTTTACATTTTTGAGCAGCTAAAAGCTTTTTTTAAAACTCTCATTCAGTCCAGCGTCTCCAAATAGATTCAAACTGCCATAAAGGAAAGGAAAAATTTTGAGACCCCCCTTCACCTGATTTCTCCATTGCCTGCACAAATACATACACACACGTGCACACACAGACACAGAGTTTAACTAGCTATTCAATATTGTCCTAATTAAAAGTTGAATGCATCAGCAAATTGAACCCTAGAAGCTAGCTAGTTATCCGCCTCAGTCTACTCACCTAGCTATAGAGCTCACTCCATCAGAAAACTCTCTCTGTTCAAAACAGAGAGCTTCCCTCTGCAAACTCACTCTACAAAGTGCATTAGGCTCCACATCACATCTACGCTCCTTCAGCCCTAGTGGATAGAACAAGTTTCTCTGAGAGGATCATTTCTGTTGACCGAACTTTAAGTTCTTTTCCCAGATCTCTGACATGATTTGACTGAATTTCTTGAAGCTTTTGTGTGTAAAGGTTGCAGAATGTCAATTCTCTAGTGATGGGATTTAGAAAAGGGAATGAAACCCAGAGACTTTATTCAGAGTGTGTGAGGAATCACCTTTATTACTAAGTGTTTCATACAATGGTATTAAAGCTATTTGCCATGCTTTTTTAATCCAAGGGTTGGACACGATTTCTTATTGTGCAGATAGCTTCTCCTAAAATTAAACCAATAACAATCAATAGCATGTTATTGAAAGTTTATGATGTTCCAGACACTTGGCTTGGTACTTTTCATGATTTCTCTTCTAACCTTCTACCAGTCTTATGAAATGGGTATTATTATTACTGTTGCTGCTGTTATCGATGTCATTATGAAGACGAGAAAACTGAGGCTTGGCGAAGCTAAGTAACTTATCCAACATTTTACTGCTAATAAGTAGCAGAATCCTGAGTTAAAACCAGGCATTGTGATATTGTGACTTCAGAAGCCTTCTACTTAATGACAATAATGCCCATTTGCATTTGTAAAGCATATTTCTGGAAGACACAAGGAGGGGGCAAATATTCTTCTGCCTCTTAATAAGACCTTAACCTAAAAGGGAATTAAAAAATGAGAAAGTACCAAGGTAGAGTAATAGGGACTATATTTACCCTCCCACCTGAACAAGTAAAGAGAGAATATATGAATGTATATATTCATATTCATATATTCATATACATAAATACATGTGTATTATATGAATACACACAATACACACACACACAGAGACCTACAGTTTTCAGACCATTGTCCAATTAAGTGACAGAAGAGAGTGGTATCTTATAAGTGGTAAACAAGTCAGGTAAGCCCTAACATTGTCCCACCTTACTTCCTTGAGAGAATTTTTGGGCTACAGTGCACAGAGGAAGCCATTCTTCTCCTAGGCATTTACTCAAGAAATAAAAGTGCATGTCCACATAAAGATTTGTACATGATGTTCAGAGCAACAGTTATATCTGTAATAGCTAAAAATTGGAAACAATTCAAATGGGTAAATAAAATGTGGTATATCCATACAATGGAATAGTGCTCAGTAATAAAAAGGAATAACTACTGATATCTGCAACAAATAAATGAATCTGAAAATAATCATTCTAAGAGAAACAAATGAATACATACATGTGATTTCACATCATATAAAATTCTAGAAAATGCAAATGAATCTAAAGTGACATGAAGCTGCACAGTGGCTGCATGCATGCAGTGAAGGATTGCAAAGAGACAGGAGAGTCCCTGTGGATAATGAATACGTTCATTTTCATCACTGTGGTCATGGTTTCACAGGTGCGTAAATATGTAAAAATTTATCAAAGTGCATACTTTAAATATGGGTTGTTTATTATACGTCAATTACACCTCAATAAAGCCATTTAAAAAATAGAACAGTTTTAATTAACAAGATGAAAGGTTTCAATCTTATTTATTTTTAGCAAAGAATAGAAGCTGTATAAGAGCCGAAATATTGTTTATCTTGCTTATTTGGGGTCTCTAGTGACTAAAGTTAGGTGTACCGATTACTACTTCTGAGTAACTAACGCAAAATGTAGTGGCATAAAATGGTCACCTGTCATGTTCATAGATCCTGTGCCTTAACATTACGGCAGAGTTGGGATGGCTTCTCTCTGCTCCATGACGTTTGAGGTCTTAACCAAATTGCTGGGTACTAGAAGCACTGGAGCTCCCTTATCACTTTGTGTGGTCTCTCCAGCGAGGAGGCTCCAAGGTAGCCAGACTTGTTACCCATCAGTACTGACTCCCAAGGGAGAAATCTAGGAGGAAGCTGTGTTACCAGTTTTGTAATCTACCACCAGAAGTCACTGAGGGGCACTTCCACCACATTATCTTTGGTTGAGGCAGTTATAAAAAATCTGCCTGGGTTTACGGTGAAAGAATATAAACACCACTCTTAATGGAGGATTCTCAACACTTGTGCCAACATTTTAAGAACGTGGGATAGAATATATACCAGCGCAGCAATCTTTGGAAAATTCAGTCTGCTGCACTGTGTCTATGTCACACAAATGAAGATATGAACATGAGTTAGTCATTTCCACTTCATGTGCAGTCTTACATGCCATAGAAAATGAAATCCATGCATTCATTACACAGATGCATAAGTGCATCTTTTTTACACAATGTGGTTTCAAGATAGAATGTTTTAACTTGTACCCTGAAGGAGCTTATATTTATAGATAAATATATGAGAAAAGAGAAAGAAAATATAGAAAATGGCAACTTGGCATAGAAGGTTTAAGTCTTAGGGAAGGTATTTAGTACTATCAGGGTTTTGAGAAGGCAGAGGCTACTACTGGCTGAAGAAACAGTAAATGCTGCCTGGGGTGTGGAGTATTAGAACTAAGACTGGGAAGTTTAGTAAGATTTCCACAGAAGATGCTGAGAGACAAGCACCAAAAGTAAGGAAAAAGTTTGATTCAAGAAATTGACCAAACCTAGTACATTATCTAAAACTCCAAGGCCCCTTTAGAACTACAGATTCTACACCCTACTTCTAGAGTATTTTAAGTTATTAAATTCCTCTCCCCCAGGACATTTTGATAATCAATCAGATTTTGAAACCACTGAGGTATAGGATATATGCAGATGGAAATAAAGATGTCTGTAAGAAAGATTAGGACCAAATCATAGGGGACTTATAAGAATCAAATGGTCTGCAATAGAATCCGATGATTATTTCACTTATATTAATTAACTTATCACAGCACCACACTTTCCAGCTAAATGCTGCACATTTGTGGTAAGTCAGATTATAAGTCAGTAAATAATAAATAATAGCAGCATTAAGTACTTGATGATACATAGACAAGCCTACAGTGTAACTTTAAATTATAATTTTTTAAAACATGGAATTTAGAGTCAGGAGAAAGCTTAGCAGTCCTTCAGTTTCTTTCCCTAAGTTCACAACATTATTTAATTCTTCCCCAAAAGTGTATATGAAGTTCCTGATGGGCCCCTTCCTATTTTGCGTGAAGGAGACTTCAGAAGTTCATTTCACAGGAATAGTTTCAGTGAAGAAACATTTTGTGATATGGAATGAAAGGTGCCTTATGCACACAAGATGTTATACCTATAATATTGCTGTCATATTATTTATAAACCATAGGCTTTTCGTATCACTTTTATGCACTGGTAGATTTTGTCAGTTCTGTGGTTCCTTTGATATATAATTTATTGTGTCAACTAATCCTGAAGAAAAATCCACAATAAATAAACAGATAAATTGACGTTCATCCAGCAGAACTATACAGTATGAAATGTAAGTTCATTTGCAGAAAAGAAAAGCTGTATAAGAAGCAGAATCATTGTTTATCAGTTTTGAATTGCTATATTTGTTCTTTGCCAAAATTTCTAATTTCTAATTAGGATTGTAGGTACTATTTCTCTCTCTCTCTCTCTCCGCCCCGTGTGTGTGTGTGTGTGTGTGTGTTTGTGTTTCTCTCTCAGAATGGCATCTGTGAGTCTCTTTTGATAATGAATACGCCAAGGGGGCCCAGAGTTAAGTCTAGGCCTCAGAACTAGGAACATTTCCATCAAAGATGGTTTGTTAATAATAAAGTAAGGAGGGAAAAAAGCTATTTGCTTCTTTTGTGGCTCTGACCCTCCCTTGGTCCTGCCAGGCCTGCCTGAGCATCAGCAGAGTTCAGTGGTAATTAAAGCAACAGTGTTGTGAAAAAAGTGTGAATTACTTTTACGGGAAGACTTGGATGTTGCTACTGACTGACAAAGCACAGCGGGGGACTCTGCTGGATATTAAAGAGTGATGGTAGTCCCTGTATTGTAAGGTGGCTTTTCAGCACAATGCAAAATTGTGACTTTTCACAAGTTGATATCTCTGGAACCATTCGAGTTATCAGCTTAAAATTTAGATATATATTTTTCCCCTTGGCAAGCTTGTGGAGCAAAACTATGTCACATTTCATGAAATGCGATATGGTGGTTGGAATTATGGAGAGCTAAAGTATATTTTCTTCCTTTTCTTCCCCTGGATTTTGACTCTATCATGGAAGTATTTCAACCTTGAAGACTGCAGAAAATAGTGAGGAAAAAGCTATAAAGGGATCATATGTTCAACCCTCTCTTGGCAAGTTATTTCAATGTCAACTATCTAGGCTTTCTGTTTCTGTCATTTTTTTAAAAAAGAAAGAAGTGCAGACCAGCACTCTGTTGACAATGCCAAGAAATGCCAACTCCAGGCTCTCAGCACTGGTGTATAAATACCCAGAAGGATGGTGGGTTCCTCCCACCACGCCCAGCCAGGAAAAGTTCTGATCTTACTCCTGTCACTGCCAATCTTGTTAGGCCAACTCCCACACAGGTGTGATATTAATGTTGATTCTGCTCCTTATACAGTGAGAAAAAATGTCCTTAACCAAATCCAATAAACCGAATTTGTGGATGTGAATCAAGAGGATAAAATAGCCCAAAAAAGTATTAATCACTTTTCATTTTATAAGCTAACAGACACTATCAGTATTCCTGAATCAAGTTCACAGAGAACACATGGAATTCTATGTAAAAACATCATCAACAGACCAGGGAAGACTGCAACTAATAAGATGCAACTGAAAAGTGATGGGAAATATGTATGTTATATGAGCCTGTATTAGTGATACATTAATCACATAACCAATGAATAGTATATCATGTAATATGCAACTGCTCTTTCATGTTTATCATTTTCTCCCTGAAGTAAATGGGTTGAGATAGTGAGTAAAATTCCTATGCTTGGTATATTTTTGGTAACCCTATCCACATCTGACCACAGTGGGACCTTCTGTGGATCAATGGACACAGTAAAGCAGAAGGCAACAGAGTATAGTGAATAAGAGCTCACCCACACACTGTGCAACCCCAATTTCTCCATGTGCAAAAAGGTTGTAATAGGCATTCCCAACTTATTTTTTAAATTAAGTGAATTAAGATATTAAAAATAGTTTAGTGAAATGCCTGACATTTAGGAGTAATTAATAAAAGCTAATTGTTACTATCATCACCATCGAACTAGGTGTGATAATGATGCAAGGTGATCCAAGGAATCCCCTTTGCTTTTAGATACACTGATTCTGTGTGATTTGTCAAGCAGTGGGGTAATATTTTTTAAGTAGTATGAGGTCATAAAATGGCATTTAGGGGATGAGGCTGTGACATGCCAAACAATAGATGGTTTAAATAGACAACAATGATATAAACAGAATAACTGGGGTGCTCAAAATGACATTCTTTCACCCCACTAGTGCAAAGTTTAATTAGTATGTAAATGGCATACTCATTTAAAATTGACATAATGCCACCTCTTTTCATGCCAAGCTGTCAGGGCCTATGAAACTGTAAAATTCCTGACACTAAACATTTGTTGTAAACTGATCCTTCCAAAAGTAACTTAACTAAAGCTGAAAAGGCAGGAAAGGTGATAATCACTTTTTTTTTAAGCCACTTCTTCATTCTTTCTTTCAGAGATAAAGGCCCAAACTGCTTTTGGGGAAAGATTCACCACATTATATTGGGCTGAGGGCATATTCTGTAAAAGAAAAAAAATATATGAACCACCAACCCCAGAGTGATGAAAAGCAAAACGGGTGAGGAAAAAAATACCCTCAATTGACATAGCTATTTTCATCACATCAAATCAGCCATCTGTTCTTGACATAGTTTATTATCATTAGGAAGATTTTCTCAATTCAGACATGGTGATGAGGAAAGATGAAGAATTAACCAGATAAATAGCCAATTTGGAAAATTCAGGCTGAGACCCTTTTCCTCAATTTCCATCCCCTCCTTTCTCCCTGCTCCATCATCACACTCCAATTATTCCAAGAAAAGCTTCAATGACATGATTAGACATGTTTATGGTAGTGTTTTTCTCTCACTTGCATAGGCATAACAAACTAAACACACTAGGTATCAAATGACACAAAGGTGGTCAACATTGTACAAAAAATAATAGTTTCCCATTGTTATAAATGACTGCATAAACTTAGAATGACAGGTGGCTACAGTTCTACAGTTAAGGGTGAGGGAATTAAATACTCTGAAATGAAGTATAAAAATGCTGATGTTTTCCTCCCAGAATTTATTCATTAGAAATGCATCAATTTACCTTGGGATAAGAGTGTTTAGAGAAGAAAATTTTCTTTGAAATCATCATGAAGTAATTCCAACGCTCTGTGTGAGATAATCTGGAAGGAAAAAGTAAATGTTGGAAACCAATAATAAAAAGAAAATATTTAAATCCAATGCTTGATATCAACTTCATAAAGTGAAGTTGGAAATTCACAAAAGTTAAGCTCATATATTTAGGAGAAAAAGTTAAAAGAATACTTGACAAATATCAACACAACTATTTAAAAAATTACTCAGGCTGGTTATTTTATTTACATAATGTTGAAAACAAGTGTGATTCTCCCTCAAACAGTTTAAAAATTCATGTTAGATTTATAAGAATCTAATTAACAGATTTTGAATTATACTTGAAAAAAATCTTTTTGATTAAAAACTTAAAAATGTTAAGGGAAGTAACTATTAAATCATGCAGACTCCACAAAACAACTTTCACCCCAACCCCCAGGCTATTTTGTGTATATATATCTGTCTTTGATAACATTCCTGTGGTCTCTTATTCTGGTCTTTTATACCTAAATATCTGACTTACAACTAATTGTCAAAAAAGTGACTTTTTATAACTCTTCATTCCTCAACATCTCTTTAAGTCATCATTGTTGCTAGACCTTTTTGTGTTGATACACTTTTTTCTTAATTTCATCTATGTCATAGGATCTTAATTATCTTCATAACTCTTACTATGCTCTTGGTTTTCTTTGTTGCTCCAACAAAGCTAAATATGGACATAGTCATTCCACCACAGTATTCATCAATTCAGCAAATGTCTATTGAGACCCTACTGCAAACCAGGTGTTGTTCTAGGTGCTGGGGGTACAGCAGAGAATCAGGCACACATGATCCTTGCCCTTATGGAGCTTAAGTTTCTAGACTAGAAGTCAACAAACTAAAGCCTCCAGGCCAAATCCAGCTCATCACCTATTATTGTAAATAGATTTTTCTTGGAACACAGCCATGCCAATTCATTTAAATATTGTCTACAGCTGCTTTTGGGATACAATGGCGTGGTTAATTAGTTGCAGCAGTGACCTTTAGAACACAAAGCCTGAAATGTTTATTCTCTGGCTTTTTACAGAAAATGTTGGCTAATTCTGGTTGACTCTAGATCCTTCTTCAACTGTGGCAGCTCTTCAATCTTTATCTTGGAGAGTACATTCTTGATTTCTTGTTGTTTCAATCACTTCTACAGAAATGATTTCATAACCTCTAGTCATAGTCACGATCTTTTGAACTTCATTCACATATTTCTAATTGCCTATTTAACATTTCCCTCCCCTGCACACACACACTGGTGAGTATATCACCATTATTTCAAGATAGCTAAGATTGAATTTATCTTTTTCCCAAAGCCAACTGTGTTTGACCGTCAATCTCCCAACCACTAGGACTTAAGATTCTGGAATCTCTCATTTTCTTCTAATATCCAGGTTAAAAAAAGTTTCTAAACTTTAAATATTCTTTATATCTATCAACTAATATTTGTTTCTACTGCCACTACCTAGGTTTGGACCTCAAAATCTTATACTTTGGATACAGTAATCATCAATCTCCTTACAGTTAATCCCTTATGTCTCCAATGATTTGTCAGTCAGTCTCCCTGAGACATCACCTTGTATATGTCATTAAAATCCTTAGTAGCTTCCCATTACCAAGATTAGGGATTCAATCTGTAGCTGGGGCTTTCTTTTGTGGGAATGCTACAAAATGACTTCAAGGGGCCCATAAATCCCATTAAACACACCAAAAATTCCCTGGAGGTTGAATAAATAAGTACCCTGAGAAGATGTATCACTATCTATTTTTCAAGTGTACACAGATGTTCTTCTGATAATTAAAAAGTTCAGCCTGGGCAACATGGTGAAACCTCATCTCTACAAAAAAATATACAGACTAGCCAGGTGTGGTGGCATGCACCCATAGTCCCAGCTACTCAGGTGGCTGAGGTGGGAGGATCACTTGAGCCTGGGAGGTCGAGGCTGCAGTGAGCTGAGATCACATCACTGCCCTCCAGCCTGGGTAACAGAGAGAGACCTTGTCTCAAAAACAAACAAAAAAGCAAAAAACATAAAATACAAAGTTGCTTTTATAAGTTACTGATATGGTTTGGCTGTGTCCCTACAGAAATCTCATCTTGAATTGTAGTTCCCATAATTCCTATGTGTTGTGGGAGGGACCTGGTAGAAGATAATTGAATCATGGGGTCAATTTCTCCCATACTGTGCTCATGGTATTGAATAAGTCTCATGAGATCTGATGGTTTTATAATGGGTTTCCCCTTTCGCTTGGCTCTCATTCTTTCTTGCCTGCTGCCATGTAAGTTGTGACTTTTCTCCTCCTTGCCTTCTGCCATGATTGTGAGGCCTTCCCAGCCATGTGGAATTGTGAGTCCATTAAACCTCTTTTTCTTCATGAATTATCCAGTCTCAGGCATGTCTTTATCAGCAGCATGAGAACAGACTAATACAGTTACCAATTATTTCATTGTAACTTTTTTCTCATTCTCTATTTTCCAAAGCAATTGATTTTAAAAGTGCAACTATTTTTTGTCTGTATTTTGTGATCAAATGGTCTTCCATTGGCCATTAAATGCCTACTGTACCATGAGGAAGGGTCTGTTAACAATTTACAAGGAAATTACAGGAGCTTAAAACTTCAGCATTTGGAGGGGAACGTAAAAGCCTTAAAAAAATCTTTAAATCCAACTATGTCCTTTCCTCTCTCCTTGGATCAGAGCTATGCTATGGATTTGGAGGATTTTATGAGGTACAGGAAGACCGTGGGAAAAGAGATGGCTGTTTAAGCCTAACTCAGTTCTAGACTTCAAAGAAAAGGAACTTGAGGGCTCCTGGTGGTTTCTACACTGTCTGCCTCTGCTGGTTAGAGACCAGGACCATATTAGGGTTCTGGACAGAAGCTTTAATAAACGATGTGCTTTTGGCATCCATATCTTCCCAGTCATATTTCCTGGAAACCCAAAAGAGGTGGTGGAAAAGTGAACATAAATACAGACGCACAGCAGGGGAAGGAAATTACTAAAAACCACATCCACATTCTTGGCCTTACAGTATCTGTGTCTTTCAGTTTAGCCCTTGTTCCTGGTTGTAGTTTTGTTTCTCCCACCATCTCCCTATGCACTATTTGATAAGTGATGGCAGTTCTCCTGTTTCCTGGCATATTATGTCATGGCAGCCCTGGAACCCAGTGCAGTGCCATCAACCAGCAAGCGCAGAGCAACTAAAAATTGCGTGTGTTGCCATTATCCAGTGGTTTCAGAACAATCACAAAGCTCTTATTTTTGCTCATGTGTTGAGTCATTTGTCATGGTGAGTACTCAGGCCAATTTACGTATCTCAGAAACCTCTCTGACATCACAGAACTTGGAGGTAAACTGAGGGAGGGGGAAAAGATGTGGCTACAGAATTGTCAACTAGTAGCTGATTAACTTTGAGCTACGTAATTTCTCAGAATTTTAGTCCCCTCTGTGGTAACTTAGAATAATATCTACTACCTCATTGCAGTTATAATAACTAAAGGAAATAAAATATATAAGGATTTGGCACGGTACCTGATACATAGTTGGCAACCCAACAGTTGTTCTTATAGGAGGGAAGAAGAGAAGGGGGTATGGATCTAAAATGATGCCTGTTATACGTATTCCACCTGGTTTAGTATACGACTGAATTACATTTGGCCTGGAATTACATTCCAAGGATATCCATAGTAGGGGAGGTTGCTCTGACACAGTCAAAGAGAATTACTGGGTCTGGGAGTGATTAACCAGGAGTGAATTAACATTTATTGCACTCCTATTACATAGCCAATTTAGTGGGCATCTTATATATGTTTTTATTTTATGCTCACATCTGTTCTGACACAAATGTTATTTTGTGTGTGTGTTTCTGACCATAAGAAGAATATGGCCAGAAAAAGTTTGAAACATTGCTTGCATCCACACTGTTACTTAGCAGAGGGAAGACTTAAACCAGTTCTAGGTGACTCTAGAGCTTTTCCACTCTTTCTCAATCACTAGGATGTCTCTTCTAATAATTTTTTATGTCTTGTCAAGTCACTCATCAATTTTCATGAAGACCACTGCCCAACTAGTGTATTATTACCTTTTTCTTCATTCCAACAAATGTCATTTAATAAAAAAGGTAGCAAATGTTTACAAAAGTTAAGTCTACATATTTGGAATAATTCTTGGAATGTCTGAAAGAACAAGGACTATCCTAAGAATAAGTGTTGCACTTACTCTCAGACACTTTAGTAGTCACCCAACTACCTATCATGAATACAGGAGCTTGGCCCATCATGGGAACCAGGACTGCTATGGCTGGCTTTGTGAGTTTGGCCTCATTCTTTGAGTCTGTCAGAAATATAACTTTGATTTCGAGAAAGTCCTATTTCTTCTCCTCACTTGCTGTAGTAGAGAATTGGAAGAAACTGTTTACAGCCAGGACTTGCAGGGTGCAGCTCTCAAAAACTGGCTTATATATAAGTAAATAATAAGTAAAATAAGGATAAAATGATGACATTCTTCAAGTAACAGCTTTAGGGTCTCGAAAATGATTATTTCTGTTTGTCTGCAACTGTAAAAATCAGTTTCAGGTCATAGCTTTTCTTTTATATGGTAAATGATGAATGACCATTTAAATATTGACCCATCTACTAACCAAGATATTAAAAAAAAATTAAAACTTACTGTGCTAAAAGGGAATTTGAAGGCTAAGATCACCTGGTTTTTCAACTCAGTGATTACATCATGGGGACATTCATTTGTCTTTACTTCAACTCGGGAATTGCATAAAATATATTTTCCCAACCAAGAAAATCCAGCCCTTTAGCTTCTGCATATTATATTTTTTCTGAATCCTGTAAATATGTTTTTCATCCAAGTTACTATACCCTTTTAGACTTTGGAAACTGTGATGTCAAATCTAACCACCTGAATTAGTTTGTTCTCAAGTTGCTATGAAGAAATACCCAAGACTGGGTAATTTATAAAGGAAAGAGGTTTAATTGACTCACAGTTCCTCATGGCTAGGGAGGCCTCGGGAAACTTACAATCATGGCAGATGGCACCTCTTCACAGGATAGCAGGAGAGAGAATGAGTGCCCAGTGAAGGGGGAAGCCCCTTATAAAACCATAGGATCTCATGAGAACTAACTCACTATCACAAGAACAGGATGGGGGAAACTGCCCCCATGCTTGAATTATCTCCACCTGGTCCCTCCCACACCTGGGGATTATAGGAACTGTAGTTCCTATAATGATGAGATTTGTGTGGGGACACAGCCAAACCATATCAGTACCTATTAAAAGCATCCACAAAAAGTAGGAATTTTCTTCTTTGAGTAGGTATTTTGCCAAAAGAACATATAAGAATTATATTTGCTTGCAAGGGTGAGGATGGGATGGGCATGAGAAAAGTCAAAGCAAAGAAGAAAGACATAATAGCACTCAGCAAGGAAAAGAAAACTATTTTTGTAAGCATTTATTATCATTTTTATATTTTTTTTACTCTTTACAAAAATAGAAATATCCTGTGTTCAGTTTTTACTTAACTTCAACAACACTAGCAATACACTGCCTTACTGCTAAAATGTTTAAAAGAGAGGAAAAAAAAAAGAAAGGGGAAATGAAGGAAGGAGAGAAAGTAAATAATTTTTCTGGAATCACAGGAAAAAGAGAACTTGACTTAAAATTTTTCACGGAGTACCATTTGCTTATTTGCAATAAGTAATTCTTTTGAAAAAAAATTCTAAATTCAACCAATTCAGTATTTTTCTTTCTTGAGTTCAAGTGCTATGAGATAGATATTTTAGTTTTAGAAAAGTTTTACTAGCCACCACCACTCTCCTTTCCAGAGCAGCAAAAATTCTGCCAAATTCCTTATTTTCCCCCATTAGCCTACGGTCCTTAAATGAATTTCCAAAGAATTAGGTAAATACTATTGGGTAATTAATGAAAACTTTCACTCCCTGTTGACTTCTTTTATTTTTATTTTTGAGACAAGGTCTCACTTTGTCACTCAGGCTGGAGTGCAGTGGAGCAATCTTGGCTCACTGCAGCCTCGACCTCCCTTCGCTCAATGATCCTCCTACCTGAGCCTCCCATGTAGCTGGGACTACAGGCATGTGTTACCCCACCCAGCTCATTTTTTCATTTTTTTTTTTTTTTTTTTTTTTTGTAGAGATGCAGGCTGGTCTCGAACTTTTGGACTCAAGCAATCCTCCCATCTTGGCCTCTCAAAGTGCTGGTATTACAGGCATGAGCCATCACTCTTGGCCTGACTTTATTTCTTAAATAAGAATGCAAATCTATATCCCTATCTAGGTGTTAAAAGATGGTAGAGCTAAACCAAACATCACACCCAAAGAAAACTGATTTATCTTCGTTTTTAGATGCATGCATTTATCAGACTACAATCACCTGCTTTTATTTCTACACCAGCATGAATTCCAAAGGACAGCTAAAGTGTTTGAAGAAGAGGCAATTAAAGGACCTATGGAAACTCTCTCCAGTATGGATGGATTATCTTTTGGGTTTTTAGCTAACATTCTATCTAACGCTGGATGGAATTTACCTAATATCCACAGCTTCAAATCAAAGTTGAAAAATTCACTTGTTAGTCACATTTACATAACTGCTATAAAAACTGACCATTAGCTAGGTGCCATAAAACCTTTCTCCTTTCTTACTGATAACTGGGGGAATAAATTACTTAAGCTTAGATCTCGCTCTCTCTCTCTACCTCTCTCTCTCTCTCTCTCTCACACACATACCTTTGTGTTATATGATTCTTCTACTAAGAACAGTGAGTGTATCCAACTCTGATAATTAAGTGTACCACACATGGATCACATCTAAACTTCTGAGTAATCAGGATGAATAAAATACTTATCACCTGGACAGTACTGGATATCAATTATTCAGTGTAGACATGTTTCTTGAAATTCCACCTTCTAATAAGATGTAAAGAATTTGGCCTCTTTTACATTACATTTAAATATATTTGGAAAACTCTAAATTAAACGAAGTAAAGCAAGTGTTTTTTTTCTACTGAGCTTCTCAGAGAAATGTATATATTTCGTGTAAATTCCTAATAGAAATAGTATATTAATTTATTTTTAAAAGCATGCAGAAAAGCACAGGAATCATGTTTAAAACTGTGTAAATCCCGCCACTCTAAACTAGCCATCCTTAACTGTAATGGGACATCATTCTTATATGTTTATTTGCATATAAACATATTGAAATACACACTAGTTTCCAATTGCTGCTGTAACAAATCACCACAAACTAAATGGCTTAAAACAACACAAAAATATTATTTTATAGTTCTGTAGGCTATAAATCCCAGGAGGCTGAAACTAAGCTGTCCGCTTCCTTCCTGGAAGCTTTAGGGGAGAAATTAGTACTTTCAGCTGCACACCTTCCTCAGTTTGTGGCCACTTTCCTGACCTTAAAGCGGGCGCGTGTAGTTCAAACCTTCTCAGGTTGCATCACTCTAACCATCTGCTTCCCTCTTCCATTTTTAAGGACTCTCGTGATTATAATGGGCCTGACCAGGCAGTCCAGAATATCTAACTTAAAGTTAGCTGATTAGCAGCAACTATAATTCTATTTGCAACCTTAATTCCCATTTGCCATGTATTATAACTTATTTATATATTCTGGAGATGACGATGTGACATCTTTGGGGATGCATTAGTCTGTTTACAACAAAAGATACATATTTATATGTATATATACATATACATGTACACACACATATATAAAATCATTTTATTAAAATAAGATGCTAATCTACATGCTCTTTTAATTAAAAAACTACTAAATTAGTTGTATATGTCATTAAAGTAATGGCAAAACCTGCAATGACTTTTGCACCAATCTTTATAATTAAATTGTGTGGACAAACTGAAGAATTTTCTGAATACTAAATAAATATTTTTAATGCTGTATTACAATTTTAAAAATATATATCTAAGTCTAAAAATAAAATGTCATCAAAATAATAGGTGTTTGAAGTTATGTTTTTAGAATGAGATCCAAATTTAGAAAGGTTTGACTTCCCCTTAGAAATAGACAAAAAAAAAATCCCACTGTCATTGTATTATTTTTATGTCATCAAGGCATATAGCATTTAAACTTAGTCTTCAAAACTGAATTTCCAATATTAGCTGAGGATTGTATTTACCTAAACAGTCACTTCCAATTATTTCTCCATTCTTGAGATATTTATTTTGGTTCTTCTCTTTGTTGCCCAGTACTCACTTTCATAAATCTCTTCATTTCAAGATGGGCTTATAGATCTACTTCCCAAGTTCTTGTGTGCTTAAGAATATCTAGTTTTAGTTTTTATACCTGGGTTATAAGAATCTTGGGCCACGCTTTTCTAATAGCAGGACTTCGTACACATTGTTCTACAGTCTTTTGAAACTAAGTGCTGCTGGTGAGATCTTAGGCTGGCCTCATTTTTTTTTTTATGTAATAGTTTACTTGCTTTTATTGCGTGCAGAAATGACTAAAATAAAATCTTTTTTAAAAAATTACTAGAAGTTTAATATTTTAAACAGGCTAAATTTTTATCAGTTTTTTTTTTCCTGGAACATCATATCTTTAAACTTAATCAGTTATTTTGCTTAATTTCAGGGAAATTTTCCACTTTTACACTGTGAAATTTTTCTGGATTCTTCTAGAAGTTTTCTACAGGATGCCCATTAAAAATTATATTACATCATCTTTATTCCTGTATAGTACCTTATTTCTAATTGGTTTTATTGCTGTCTTTTCTTTCTGCACTTATTGTGAGTATCTTAAGGCAGCTCTATGTCAGAAATTGTATACAGCTGTGTTTATAGGCCTGCAGGTTGAGTTTCTGGAAATGGGAAGGCTAAATTGAAGTGATTAATATAAGGGTGTCATTGCATACTATCTTTGAAGCTGTGTTCCCATATCAACACTGACAATCTAAATTATTTTCAGTTCTTAATAGTTTATAGAGCAATTTTATGTATATTATCTCATTTAACCTTCACACAGTTCTGAGAGGTAGACAGGGAAATAGTATTCTCACTTTCTCATGTGTATAAGTGATCAGCTGAATCACTCTTTTATAATTAGAATATTAGATAACATCAGTATAAAACAAGTTGTTCTTAAATTAGTCCAATCTTTTTCTCCCTTGCCCATCTTCGTGATAAAGAAAAAACAACCTCTAATTTTCACTTCCACCCTTGCAACTAGAGTTAGCCAGGTGAACATCTTTCTGACTGCAGTGAAAAGAAATTCTGCTGCAGGGGTAGATTTGGGGAAAGTTTTTCCTTCTCTATTAAAAGCAATGGGCAATGCTGGCATCTCAGTCTCCTTCCTTCTTCCTCACCTTGACATGTACACAATGTCAAGAGATGAGGCAGTAATCGTGGACTCATCAGGAAAAGGCCAAGAACAATTCAACTGATATTAACTCCAACATGATTGAGTCATGGAACTAATGTCATCAGCTGCCTGCCTATCTCTGAGCTCCTTATGACATGAGAAAAAGAAGTGTCTCTTTGCCTAAGTCAGATAAATAGTATTTTATGTTACTTGCTGCAAAAGCATTCCTAATACTATCAACTGATAATAATGTCAATGCAAGGAGATGATAATCTAAGCTCCAAATCATTATACATTTATCTTAAATTTACATAATATAGAAATAGTCCAGGTGTGGTGACTGACACCTATAATCCCAGCACTTTGGGAGGATCTCTTGAGGCCAGGAGTTTAAGTTTAGCCGGAGCAACATAGCGAGACCCTCTGTCTGCAAAAAGATTACCTTAAAAAAATGGCCTGGACGCAGTGGTTCATGCCTGTAATCCCAGCACTTTGGGAGGCCAAGGTAGGCGGATCACCAGATCAAGACCATCCAGGCTAACATGGTGAAACCCAGCTAATACAAAAAATTAGGTGGGTGTGGCGGTGTGCGCCTGTAGTCCCAGCTACTCTGGAGGCTGAGGCAGGCGAATGGTGTGAATCCAGGAGGCGGAAGTTGCAGTGAGCCGAGATCGCACAACTGCACTGCAGCCTGGGGGACAGAGCGAGACTCTGTCTCAAGAAAAAAAAAAAAAAAAAAGGCTGAGCATGATGGCATGTGCCTGTAGTCCTAGCTTCTCAGAAGGCTGAAGAGGAACAGGGGGTCGAGTCTGCAGTGAGCTTTGATGATGACACTACACTCCAGCCTGGTCGACAGAGCGAGACCTTATCACTAAAAAAAAAGAAAAAGAAAAATAAAAGGAAATTGTTTAAATATAATAACAATCCTTTTTTTCCCTGATAAATGGGAAGATTAAGTTCTTTCCTTCTTCCCACCATAGGGGACTAGGACGTCACCTAGGAAGAAAAAATATTCAGCATTTTAACTCATTGGGCAAGTATTCAAAATAAATTGTTCCAAGAAGCAAAGTTAATTTATGCCAGTCGAATAGAAAATAACATTAGTTTCATTCATTGTGTTTCCAAGTAACCTGGAAGAATAACAATGACTAAAAATTTTGTGTGTATGAATCTAAATATTTTTCCTGATTTGAAAGACTGTGCTAGACACTGAATGATTATTTTCATTTACATGGTATAAGCAATTCACTTTCTCATACATCTTAAAAGTCTACCTACATGAGATAAGAATTATGCTGTTTTATATTAAAATTGATATAATTTCATGAATCATTTTTATTGACTGATGATTTATAAACTATTCTCTTCTGGAAAACCTCATTAGTTTTTGAAGCCTCTACTAGTTTCCAAAAAAACTTCCAACTTAATATGTATCCTACCATGTCATGCCAATTTACAAGTTATGGGGGATCTGGGCAAATGTTTTAATTGATTTTGAATTGTGCAGTTTGTCTCAGAACTACATAAACATTAAATAATTCAGAGACTAAATGAAACCTTATAATGCAGCACACCAAAGTTGTTTAGGCAAGTTTTTTCCCCAATAATCAGATAATTATACATAACTAGTCATCATTACTTGAAACAAATTATGTTCTGTTGAAGCATGAAAGAGGTTTCCTGGCATTATTTTGAGTTCAACTAATCTTACTGACAATAGGTGTCTGTCTGCAAAACCTGTTTATTGGTGTTATGGTTTGGTTATATAGCATTGTGTAGTTGCTGCTCTGTAGTAAGCCCCTCTTAATTATATCATTTTTGAAATAAATATTGTATCTTTTATTTTGAAAAATCACAGGTTCAGTAAACTTGGCAAATGCGTGTGTATATTTTGAATACAGAATGCTTTGTCCTTTATTCATTGTAGATTATCTGTAATAATACACTGCTCCATGAGACAGCAGACTAGTGAAGAAAAAAAGGCGAGCAGTTATTTGCTGTGCATTTAAGTGTTTAAACAGAGGAGTTACTCTGCTTTCAGACATTCTTGCTTGATGAATTCACTGGAGGCAAATGGTTTAGAGTGCTGTGTCATGTCAATCAAGGGCATTAGCATCATTTGTGCAGTGGGAAAGCTTGTGTTTGGCGGAGGAGGGATTCTTTGGCTCTGTCTACACAGATTACGTAAAATGGAAAACTAAGGCATTTATCCAACTAATTCTGGCAAAAAGAAAAAAAAGTGAGGTCAATTATTCAAAGCAGCTATAGATGGTAATGGAGTTCAGTGGATAAGTAGTACTCCACTGTCCTCCCATTTTCTGCAACTGAAATTGTTTTTATGTTTGTATTGAGTGGAAGAGCACACTAGGAATTCCCTTATGAGGCATCATCATGTAGTGAGTGGCCAAAATTAAAGGCACAGCAAACTCTTCATTCCTTCATTGCTTGAAGGACTTATATATAGGCAGGATAATAATAAATCTCCTACTTCCACGTAAGAGTGTACACCTAAAATATTAACATCATTTGACCACTTAACTTTTTAAAAGTGACACTCTGAATTTATAAGCTAAATTACTATGAGTTTGAGTATAAGTTATTAGACAATAGTATTTATTATTGACTCTAATAAAACGAAGATATATTGTGTCCAAACCACAGGGACAATAGATTTTTTTTTTTTTTAGTATTAGGAAGTTCCTACTTCCAAGTTTAAAATATCGTGATAATTGTTATAATTCTATACTTTGAAAAATTAAACCATTATGTCAGAGGCGTTTTAACCAGAGCAACTCCATCTCGAATAGGAGCTAGGTAAAATATGGCTGAAACCTACTGGGTTGCATTCCCAGACAGGCATTCTACGTTACAGGATGAGACAGGAGGTCAGCACAAGATACAAGTTATAAAGACCTTGCTGACAAAACAAGTTGCAGTAAAGAACCGAGCCCAAACCCACCCAAACCAAGACGGCTACGAGAGTGACCTCTGGGCATCCTCACTGCCACACTCCCACCAGCACCATGACAGTTTACAGTTGCCATGGCAACATCAGGAAGTTACCCTATATGGTCTAAAAAGGGGAGGCATGAATAATCCATGCCTTGTTTTGCATATCATCAAGAAATAACCATAAATATGGGCAACCAGGAGCCCTCGGGGCTGCTCCTTTACTTTCTTAATAAACTTGCTTTCACTTTACTCTATGGACTCGCCCTGAATTCTTTCTTGCATGAGATACAAGAACCCTCTCTTGGGGTCTGGATTTGGGCACCTTTCTGGTAACAATTATGCCACAGGAAAAGCTGGGCAGATAAAATATAATAAATTTAAATAAAACTTCATAAGGGAATCTTATAGTAACTTTAATCATTCAACATACATTCATTGAACAGCTTTAGGTAAATGTTTTTCTTTTGTATCATCTTCTAAATGTTATAAAGCACTCTTATTGGATAATTGCTTTCTTTCCCCAGCACCAGTCATTAAAGTCTGTTCTTTCCCTTCTAATTTTCATGCCAATAAATTAAGTTAGCCTCTATATGTAAACCTTGTTTATTAATTCTTTCCTCTGGAAAAAAATTCCACATCATTACTGCTAGATTTCAGTGTAATTTTTTTCTTCTGTTCAATTAATCTATTTGTCTATCCCTATGGCAATATCACCTAACTTATTTTTTAGTTTATTATAAATTTTGATGTCTGAAAAGGAAAGACCCCTCACTTTGTTTTTCTTTTTTAGGTGTATCTATCATTTTAGAATTAGCTTGCAAGTTAAAAAAAAAAGTAGGAATTTTAAGCAGAATAATTTGACTCATTCTAAGTATGTATTGTTTTGTTATAAATCACTCTAAACTTAATGACATAAAAGAATCATTTTTATTTATTATATTTCACAGTTCTGGGGGTTAACTGAGATGAATTAGGCAGTTCTTTCTTGAGGGTCTCTCATGTGGCTCTTGTCTAATGGTGGCCATATATATAATTTGTTCATATATCTGGAAGTGAAAGCTGATGTCAGCTGGAACTTCAGTTAGGGCTGTTGTTCAAAACTGCTTCACGTATCCTATCCACGTGATTTCTCTACTTTCTCATGACAATGAGACCAGATTTCTGGAACAAATAAGAGTCCCAAGAGGAACAGGCAGAAATCACATCAATAGTTATGACCTAGCCTTAGTACCAAATATTATTGTTTCTACCATAGCTCATCAAATTCAAGGGGATGAACATAGACACACACACTCCCAACTTTCTAATCTGGCTATGTCCATATTAGAAAAAAATCATCTGTCACAATTCGGTAAATCAATTTAGGAAAAATTAACATCTTTATACTATTGAATTTTCCTATCCATGAACATGGTATAATTCTGTTTATTTAGATTTTCTTATTTTCTTTCAATAAAGCTTTATTTTTCCACAAATAGCATATGTACATTTTGTTATAATTATTACTAGGCACCTGATTTTTTTATGTCATGGTAAAATTTATCTGTTTTAAAATGTGTTTTTCAACATTACTTATTTGTATGTAGTAAATTACTAATTTTATGTGTTGATTTTGTATTCAACACACCTGCTTTACCATCTAATTTATTCTAATATATTATATTGCTATTGAGTTTTCTACATAGTCTTATCATCTGTGATGAGTAATTCCTTTTTTCTTTCTATTATACTTATTTAATAGGCACATATAGTACCTATCATGTCTCAGACACTATTTTATTTTTTTAGTGATCCCACTTTTATTTTTATTGGTGTATTTTCTGTTTGTTTGTTTGTTTTCTTCAACTTTTATTTTAAGTTCCAGGGTACATGTGCAGGATGTGCTGGTTTGTTACACAGGTAAATGTGTGCCGTGGTGGTTTGCTACACAGATCAACCCCTTACCGAGGTATTAAACCCAGCATCTGTTAGCTATTATTTCTGATGCTCTCCCTTTCCCCACACTCCCTGACAGGTTCCAGTGTGTGTTGTTTCCCTCCCATGTCAGACACTATTTTGAGCACTTACAAATATTAACTAATTTAACATTAATAACCTCCCATCAGGTAGGTATTATTATTTCCATTATGGAAACTGAAGCACATATAGAATAAAATACTTAGCTACTAAGCTTGTTAAGCTTGTTCATTACTTAATTTGTAAGCAATAGAGAAATGATTTAAATCCAGGCAGTCTGGTCCAACCCTTAAAGGTTACATCATATAGCCTCTTCTATACCTTTTCTTTATTTTTCTTCCCTTACTGCACTAGCTAAGACACACAATATAATGTCAGACAGAATTGCTGATGCAGACACCCTTGTGATTTTTATGATGTTAAAGCCAACTCTTTCACCATAGTACTGTAAAGTACTAGGTTTTGTAGGTTACTATTTATCAGATTAATACAATTTCCCTTTCTCTTTACTTTGCTAAGTGCTTTTCTTTTATGTTTTCTTTCTTTAAAAAATATGAATGGCTGTTTAGTTTATTGAAGGCTTTTACTTCCTCTATTAATATAATCATGCCATCTTTTTTTCCCATTTATCTCTTAGGTTGGTAAACTGAATTATGTGATTTTCTTAATGTTTAATCAATCTTCCTCCTGAAAAGAATTCCACTTTATTACACATTGCTAGATGTCAGTGTTCCAATATTTTGATTAGAAATTTTTAATTTTAGCTTAAAAATGAAATTTGCTTTTACATTTTTTCATATTATGTTTAAAGTTGACTAAAATAGAATTTTAAAGTATTGACATTTTTCAAGTTATCTTTCTAAAAAATCTCATTTGAATTTCACAGTGACAAGACAAAGTGGTCTGTATGATACAAATTCTTGAATATACATTAATGTTTGGATCCTTGCTTTATAGCAAAATATTTTCAATTTTCGCAAATATTCTCCATGTACTTGAAAATAAAAAATGTCATTTTGAAAAACCTAATGAAATAATGGATTTAGACAATGGTCATCATGGATGACACTATTAAGAGAAAGATTGATGGAGAATTTATTTATTTATTTTTTACTTTTTGTTTTTTTCTTTTTTAAAGAGATGGTATCTCACTATGTTGTCCTGGCTGGATTCAAACTCCTGAGTTCAAGTGATCCTCCTGCCTCAGCTGCCCAAGAAGCTAGGACTTCAAGTGCAACACCACACCCAGCTTGATGGAGAACTTAAGAGTGAAGGGATCAGGCAATGACCAAATGAACCAAATGATCAATCTTCACATTACAAACAGAGGGACAATCAAGTGTGGTGTCATCTGGTTGTGATGTAATATTAAGTACTCCCCCCAACCAAGACTCCCAAATTGAAAGGGAATCTAATCAAGTTCAGGGTTAAATTCCATTTATAGAGAATACAGGAGACAAAGGAATGAGTTAATTAACACCACAATGAAGCAATCAGAGAAATCGAGAATGTGAGACACTTTTTAGAACTGACCCAAGTTCTTCCACCACTCAGTGGCCTGATGAAAAAAGGGAAGAAGTAAAGAGGAAGGCAATTGTTTGGATTGCATTTCCAATAAACCAAGTGGAAAATACATTTAAACAATCATGACCATTTTCATATGGTATGAATTGGATTTTGGATAATACCAAGAAATCATTCATAATTTTATCAGGCATAATTTTGGTTTCAGTCATGTACAAACAAGGCTGTGTATTTTTAGAGATTCTTGCAGAATTATGTGGTGATGATATACATTTGAGATTGAGCTTTACATTTTGAAAAAGAACAGAAAAATATGAATCTTCTTTTTAGGTTCATTAGATCAAGCTTGCAAATTGTCTTTTAATTTCATCTTTTTTTTTTTTTTTTTTTGAGACAGGGTCTCACTCTGTTGCCCAGGCTGGAGCGTAGTCACACAAACATGGTCCACTGCAGCCTCTATATGCTATGCTCAAGTTATCCTCCTATGTCAGCCACCCAAGTAGCTGAGACTACAGGCGCGTACCACCATGACTGACTAATTTTTAAAATTTTTTTTGTAGAGACAAAGTGTCTCTATGTTGCCCAGGTTGATCTTGAACTCCTGAGCTCAAGTGATCCTCCTGCCTCCGTCTCTCAAAGTGTTAGTATCACAGACATGAGCCACTACACCTGGTTCAATTCCAAATCTTACTGATTTATTTTTCTCAGTTAGTGATAGGCATTGTTAAAATGTTTCAATATGATAATAAATTTATTTATTCTTGTTTGTCTTCATTTTTGCCTTATCTGTTTTAGAGGAAAAGATTTTGCTTTATGTGTTTTAGGAGACAAACATTTTAAAATTTTATATTTTCCATGTGAATTGAATCATTTATTATTACACAGTTACCTTTTAAATCTGAATAATCCTTTTTAGCTTAATGTCTAGTAATCAAGCTGTACTTACATCTTTTGCTTTTCTTTTCTGTTTTTGGAAAGTATTTGATGAGATACCTTTCCCTATCCTTTCATATTCAACCTATTTACATTTTTGTGTGTTATATATGTTTCTTTGTCATTCACTGGATTATTTAATCATTTACATTTCTTATAATTACTGGTATATTTAGGTTTATTTCTACCTTATTTCAAACTGAAATTTGTCCTACCTTTTCTATACTTGTTTTTGCTTTATTTTTTTTCTTTTGAATTAACTGAATATGTTTTCTCATTCTGTTTTTTCTTTTTACTTAACACTCTTTCATTTCTCTTAGTGACTGCTCTAGGAATCTTAACACGCAGGCTAACTTATGAAATTGTAAAGCTAATCATTATCTTCACCCTCCTGAACAAATCAATGATGTTAGAACACTATAACTCTAATAATATTTTCCCTTTAAGCACTATTGCTTTATGTATTTTTATTTTATATTACTTTTTTCTTTCATAAACTTAAAAGTGGCAATTATTGTTTTATATAGTCAATGTTTGTTTTGATTACAAACATATTTATTACTTTCTTTGATCATCATTCTTCCTTGCATCTCAGACTTCTTTGATGAAAATATCTTTATTTCCCCCTTATTCTTAAAAAATATTTGTGGAATATTGAATTCTAGATTCAACAATTATTTTCTTTCTATACTCTGAAAATTTTACTCTATTCTCTTTGTCTTCTGTTGCCACTAATAAGTCAACTGTTATTTTAATCATCATCCTTAGATAATTTGTCTTTTCTGTCTGATTTTAAAATCATCTCTTTATCTTTGGTGATATCCATTTTCATTATTGTATATTTAAATGTGGATGGTTACATTTATCCTACTTGGTTTTTTTTTAATCTGAGGATGGATGTTGTTAATTAATATTTTTAAATTGTCAGCCATTTTATTTTCACATGCTGCTTACCTCTTCTCTTACGAAAACTCCAAGTACATACATGCCTTAGATTTTTTCACTCTATCCTCCATATCTGTTAATAACTCTGCGATGTTTTCTATGTCTTTGTCTCTCTATACTGCATTTCAGATAATTTCTTCAGAAATATAATCCAGGTTATGAATTCTCTTTTTATCTATATCTAATCTAATCTAGAAGGTTGGTATTAAGTTTTTAATTTCAATTATTATAGTGTCTCTTCCATTGATCTCTTTGGTTATTTTTATACCTGCTTGGTCATTTTTATGGTGACTCCTCTTTTTTACTCATTTGTATCCCCTATTTTAATTCATTAGATATGCTAAACCTCTTTATCCCATACTCTTTTAAAATATGTTTCTAAAGTAGGAAGTTTGTGGCTCACATTATCCTTGCTCATGTTTTTTACTGTTTTGTTTGTATGTTTTGTGATTGAACTTGAATTCATATTCTTTAGTACTTTGTTTATGCAAATTTACTGAGGCTTAGATTGAAAAGAGGTTCCTTTAAATAGGATTTGCATTTGCTTCTGCTACGTGCCTGGAGAGCCTATTGATTCAGCATCACTTTAATTAAATGCACGCTTTTAGTTTTATTTGAGCACACCCAAGTGCTGTGGACTCTATCTGCAAACCTAGCCAGTGAAGACTGGCTTGTAGTATGAATTTCTGGAGAAGAGTTTTTTCTTCTGGTCAAGGCTGGAGAAGAGCAATTTGTCTTGCTGATCCCTTAGGGGAAGGTGACATTTCTATTTACTTTTAGAGGATGGCTGTTTGGGGTCCCAGATCTATGGGGAGGGTTACCTATGAGATGTCATCTCCTTCCCTTGTGGGTACTAGTCCTCCATCTCCTGTGACCTGTGAAGATGTGAAAAGAAAACTCAAGTTCTTCTTGGTTTGATGAGTATCCTAAGAACACAAATCATACTCACTGTTTTGCTTGGCTCTCTGGGTTTGTACTTTCACTTAGTTTTTGACATCTGCAAACTGCTAACCTTCTTACCATATCATTGATATGCTATGTATTTTTATATTAAACCAGTATTTTTAGTTACTTTTCATAAGACAGATAATTTCTGTTAAATTGCTAGAAAAACAGTCTCAAGAATCCTATACCATGTCTGTCTGAGTGAATAAAAGAAATAACTGGAAGCAATATTTTAAAAGAGAGAATCATGTACCTGGGTTTGTGCTAATCACATTACTCACAACTGCCAGAATGCAATGCAGCCACAAGTGGTTTCAGTGGTCAGAGAAAGTAAGTGTAAATACCATAACATTTTCAGAAGGTTGATACAAACTAGACATGTACCACATCGACCTAAAAGGAGACACTCCAATTCACCAGGTAGTTCTAAGAGTGCTAGTCTGGAGAGCAGAAGTGGTGACTACAACTATGAGGTGGTTAAGTGGTCTCAGTGAAAAAAAACTGAAGATGGGAGGTTGATGTGGAGTCAGACTTAGTGGGCATGGCTCTGGATTGGCTGTCCAGAGGTCCAGCTTCTAAACTCACCTCTGCCATTAGTGGTTTGTGGGAAGTTGGGCAAGTTGCCTCTCCTCTCTGGGTTTAATTTTACTTATCTGTAAACTGACTATGCCGATAACACATCAGGCAAAAATCTGTGGCCTCTCAGCCCTCAATTATTCCTTTACAGTTCCTCTAAGGGCAGCACAGTTCTTCCGGTAATATGCTCCTGTCTCCTTGTGTTTAAAGGGTCATTACTTAGTGATTCTAAAATGTTTTGTAAGATAATAGAGTCAGCTAACTCAGATTCTACTGGAACAACGGAAAAAAGAAGCCCAGATGACCCTATATAAGTGTTATTTATGAATGATGGGTACTCAAAAGATTTTTAAATGTAAGATATCATAAATCATATCTTTGTGACAAATTATTTTCATGCCTCAAACTCCAGGTATTTTTTTATTGTTGTTGTTCTGTTATTTCATCACTAGCTGTATTGTAAAACTAATGAAATTCAAGTTTTAGGTTCCCTGATTTAAGCATCTTCCTTCCAAAGACCTTTTTCCTCTCATTTAAATAAACATTCACTTTTGTGTTTAATGTTTTATTTATAATTTTATACATTATTAAAAAATGGGTTTCCCACATTGTATACATTTCAGGGTCCACAAAACCTAAATCTGCCCACTCTAATACTTGATCAAATAAAAATTACATATTTCTTCCTCATTTGCTTTGATTTATCACTTTTCCAACTTTCATTAAACAACAAAAAAAAGACAAAACAAAGACAAGATACTATTGATTCAGGTGTATGTATAGAGAAACATGTTTCAATGCAGCTCTCGCCTATTAAAATCGGAGGGCAGTTTGAAGGTTATGCAAAAGCTCATTCACGATTCATTGCCTTCCAAAGCTCAAACTTTCACTCTTTTTTAAGCCTAGATGTTTGGAAAAAATAATGGGTCCCAGTAGTCATTGTAACATTTTGAGACTGCAAGTTGTGATAGTGCTAGTAAAAAAAACAAAACAAAACAAAACAAAAAACATGTAATATTTTATTTTCCAATTTTGAGTGAACAATTCTACCAGCCTCACATAGTATCTTAGAGTTGCAAAAGCATTTATGAACAGTTGAATTTGGAAAAGGAAGATTTATTCAATTGCTTCATGTAGTTTGAGAACTAAGATAACATGAGCAATTGTTAACTTCAAAATATTCTATTCTGTTTGTATTGTTTTTACATTAAAATTATACTCTCATATATATACACATATTGACTATGGCTGGCCATTTCTAGGAATTTGGGTATTTTTGTCAAAGGAAAGCAGCCTATTTTAAGATTTTATTTTACATATTTTATTTTTATTTTGAGGGGAATCCAAATATCTACATCATGAACTTAAATTCCTATAGCTGCCAGAACTGACAGAGAATTAGCAAGGCAGAGCCAAGTTCACGCAAGACTGTCTACGGCGCTCTTATAGCTAAAGACAAACCAAAATATTGACTAGTTCTTCTCAAAACAGCATGTATAAGTTGTGGCTGAAATAAGCCTGATGTAAGAAAGAATACAGATGGCAGTATAATCATAGGCTGGGTCTACAAGATGCCAAACAACCCATTCAAAAGTGAAAAACTCAGTCGATCAGTTGGTGGTTTTGTCTACATGCCACCAAGCAACAGGCTTGACTGATTTCTTCACAAAATTGACTGAGCTTTTGACAATACTTGAGCAGATGTTTTATCACTATGTATATTCAGTCTTAGTTGTCAAATCTATAACTCAAGTAAGTTCTCCTATGAATGATGAATTCCTTTCCTCCATCAAAACAACCTGAAAGTGTTAAACAAAGCTCATCTGCAGTTTTTAATTCATCTTAGAACCTAGTTCAATGCATGTGTTTCACACAGTATAGAGTATTCCGGACAAGAAATATAATCTCCCAACTTACACGCCTCGCTTTACTATTTTATTAATTCATTTGGTATCCTGGCTACTCAAATATTCATTGAAAAGTAACTAAAATTCATTTTACTTTCTTTTTTTTTTCTTTTTAAGCAGCAAGTTCCTTGGTATATACAATCTATTTGCCATCAATGTATCAAATTACTACTAACATTTACAATTGCTTTTGACATTTTTTGTTCCAATTCTTTTAAAAAAGGTCCTTTTCGGGCCAGGCGTGGTGGCTCACGCCTGTAATCCCAGCACTTTGGGAGGCAAAGGTGGGCATATCATGAGGTCAGGAGATTGAGACCATCATGGCTAACACAGTGAAAACCCATCTCTATTAAAAATGCAAAAAATTAGCCGGGTGTGGTGGTGTGTGCCTGTAGTCCCAGCTACTCGGGAGGCTGAGGCAGGAGAATCGGTTGAACCCAGGAGGCAGAGGTTGCAGTGAGCCGAGATCATGTCACTGCACTCTAGCCTGGGCAACAGAACGAGACTCCATCTTAAAAAAAAAACAAACAAAAAAACTTTTCTGTGAAAGGTAAGTCACAAAATCTTTAAATATGTCATAATTAAAAATGAAAGCAATCAGAAAAGATACTGTTTTAAAACAAGTTCTTTGTGAACAGAGATCTCATGCCTTTGGCCTCTATTGTGTCCTCAACACCTGATATGGTGTGGGCTTCAACAAATGTTTATTTAATGAATGATTAGATGGATTGTAGTATACTATTCTCCTAGCCACTGACAAATTGTGGCCTATTAAGACTAGGGGAGTAAATACTCCAACTCACTCCCCTCCTGTCCTACAAATGTACTGCTCATGCTTCTGTTGCCTAAACCCAACTGGAAACCAGAAGGCAAGGGAATGTGTTAAGAGCTCATAGGTAGGTGGAGAGGGGTGGCAAGTGGTTCTGGAGCTGCCAACAGTATCCACTATCTGCACACTGCTGTTTTCCATGCAGTCACTGGAGATAAGAAGCTAGATGTACATGACGATTCTTATAATTTTCACACACACACTAATTACATATATACATATATACACATGTATGTTTATGTATATAACAGACAGGTGTTAGATAGATAGATCAAAATGCTCTCAAAACCTAAACATAGTTGATTTCCTCCCAAATCCCTTGAAAATGTTCTGCCAGATAATCTTTAAATTTCTTTCCAACTATATTATTCTTTGATATGGATTAATGTGAATGCCTTGAAACACCATTTACCTTTAAAAGAAACCTAAAACTTCTATTTAATTTTAAAAATAAAATGTGTTTTTTAAGAAGCTAGAAAATATTAAAAAAGGGTAGATGAGACGCACACTCATTCATACACGATGCTTCTAGGAGCCAATAGATGTATTTTTTTCTTAGTTCACAAGGCAGTCATCGGGAAAGAAGACGGTTTTCTAGGTCTGTCTCTAATCACTTCCTTCTTTCTGATTTATGTCCATCTTCCATTCACCATTCTTTATATGCTGTCAGTTTTCTTCTTTTCAAGCACAAAGAACAGGCAAGAGCATGAACGGGGAACAAGCAAAGGACTCCACTCTGGGAAAGTCGCTCCGAAAATGTTTACTGCATCAGCATTAATATCTTCCAAAGAAAAGAGCACTTGCCCATCTTTTGAGACCACAGCAGCAATTGCCTTTATTCGAAGTTACCTGTAACATGCTCTAGGGGACAATCTCTATGTGCTTAATACACAGGTTTTTTTGCAATTTTAACAGTGGTCTGATGGGGAAATGTAACTTTTATCATTATAAATTTCTAGATTACATTATGTTTTCAGCTAAGCAGTGGATGGAGTCTGACTTAGCCCAAGGACCTCTTTCCAGTTTGTGGGGATGTCTTTTTTTTTTTAACCTTCACTTTAAAACCAGAAAGAGGAAAACTTTCTTAACTTACTCAAAGTATGTGCAAACTATTTCTTCAAAGCTCTGAATTTCCTGAGCCTGACTTTTAAATAAAACCCAGCAAAACAGGAGAAATTGAAAGGATTAGGGAAAGAAAAATCATAACATTTATTTTCAGGTTGAATAAGAAATTCTGTTTTGTTAAACAGAAGCAAAGTTCCTGTAGCCATTCCCCACCACCCACAACCATAGTCCTTTCTTCTGAAGCATGAGTGTTTGCTCTAGCCATTAAAGAAGACAGATGCAAACCCTCTTTCCATAAGAGCTAAATTTTTTATACATTATGCTAATAATAAGCAAAAGTTGCAAATATAGAGAAAACTCTTACAAATTTCCTGAAATCACTCATCTAAATACTATGCTGTAGCTAAAACTATGCTATATTAAAGGTCTTGAGGAAGAAAATGTTAGGTACCATTACAAGTATCTTATTTATCTAATTTGTTAAAACACATCAATTTTTAAAAAGAAGCTTTTAAAGCAGCGATCCTACAATATATCTCCTTTGCTCAATGCGATGAGAAGCCAACGGAGTTGTTTTAAAATCAAATAGGGGCAATTCTTTCTTTCACTTTTCCCAGGACTTTTACCCCACTAGAATAAACTGTCATTAGATGCAGAATGTTTGTATTGATTAATTCAGGATGCCAACTACTATATGATTCACAGAAGGCAAAAGAAATGCCAATGCTTTCATAACACAAAATGACACATTTTTGAGAATACTATAGCTCCCTCACAACAGCTAGGCAATCTTTTCAGAAAAAAACAAAACAAAACAAACAAACCAAAAAAAAAAAAAAAACCTTTACACCTGAAGTCGAGCAAATGGACAACTTAAGAGAGCTGTAATGGACTCATTCATAGCTCTTCTTCTGTTAACATTAGGCTAGAATTTACTTAGTAATTCTTTACTATTTGAGGAACTTGGTGAAGATTTTGTTTCAACCAAGAATAAACTGAGGTGCAAATGATTTAAAGTCTTGCCAAAAAAATAAAAACATCTCTCTTAGGTGTATCATGTTTCATGAATATTTTGGCTATGTTGGGATACATAAACAAATGGAGAATTGAAGTAAGTAGTCTTAAAAGTCAAGAAAATAAAAAGCAAAATGTTTTAACATTCATTACTGGAATGTAGATGCTTTGTTTGATTTTGTTGGAACATTTGTTTTGCATTTTATTGGGCTCCTTTATTTGGATAATTGCCTTAATTCATCACTTTACATGCCCAGACAGATAATTAGTTAATAAGTTTATGTTAAGTACCTACTCTGTGTCAGATTTGGAATTATGAGTAAGGATCCCATTTAACTTCAAGATTTGCAAAGGTGTTAACCAATGACATTTCAACAGAAGGAGAGCAAGTATTACTAAAAAGATTGGAAGGCCATAGCAATTGTCAGGTTTTTTAAATTTTAAAAATAAAGCTCTTATCTCCCAGTGCAAACATCCTTATTCCAAACGCAAATGTATTGAAAGGGTGGGTGAACAGGTCAGGTTGCATCCACACGGAAACTTTGTGAACTATTTAAAACTGCAGGCACACTCCTGGAGAGCCGTTTTGTCCTGAAGTGTCCACAGACTTCCAATGTAGACTCCTTGAGGAGTTTGTGATGAGAGGATGCCTTATTGTAATCTTTCCATTGGGTAGTCTAACATGGCACAAAGAGTATAGTGAGGTTCTTCCTCACCTTCTGAGACCTTGGGGAGCCCTGTTGGCTTCTTTCTCGGCCAAACGGAGTCAGCATCAAGGGAAGAAACCAAAAGGAGTCAGCATCAAGGGAAGAAACCAGAAAGATATAGCAGAATACGACCGTTTCAGAAGAGACGCACGCTTGGCCCAGGATATTATTCAATTAGCCTTCCTCCAGGTAAGAGAAACGCTGTATGATGAAGAGCAAACGATCATCAACCTCTGGTCTCGAATGATAGCAATCACATCACATAAACAGAATTGTCTTTAAACGTTAAAGTTTCTCCAACACTAGCCTATATTTTCCTCGATTTTTACTACTTTGGAGATCATCTGTACCGAAGTGTAATAAAAAGGCAATTCAGGAGAACTACTAATTTAAAAGGGGGAAAAAAGCAAAAGCAAAAACAAAACAAAACAAAACAAAACAAAAACAGGCATTGAGAGGGGACATGGCTCGGCATCAGGTCACTGAGTGTATTCATTATTTGTCCCCCTTACCATGTTATGTCTTAATTACTCTGGTCTGGCTTCCTACCCGGGGTCACTATGTTACAGCTGGTTTTCTGCCCAACCCTAACTAATAAAGCCTCATTTAGTATCCAAGTTTATTGTAATAAACCTCTGCTGAGAGATACAGCAGAAATAAAGAGAAAAAAAAAAAACCTAGAAATTATCAGAGTTGCTCTAACACTAACCTTGCACGATAAAAGGCCTTAGTTCAGGCCTTCTCTGGGTTACCTTTAACTTGGAAAGGACTTCCATTTGATTTCATTTGAAATTTCTGGCATAATTAAGTACAGTGGTTAGATTCCACCCCAAGGCAGAAAAGGGACAACGGTTTGCAAACACTCCTGAATACATCATTTGGAATTTTTCAAACGGATTATTCATTTATGCTTTTTGCTTTCAAATTAACATTATTTTGTGAAACAAAAACAATGCTTTCAAATGGCAATATAAAAAAGTAATACACATCATCAGTTTTCTTTTTCCTGTGGCACTACTTCTCTTAGTTTTTTGACAC